>NC_000013.11:83757528-83910369 GCF_000001405.40 Homo sapiens | reverse complement strand
CAGTGGCTGCCACTGCTTTAATACTTTTAGAGGTCCTAAAAATCACAAACTATGCTCAACTCACTCTCTACATTTCTCATAACTTCCAAAATCTATTTTCTTCCTCATAGCTGACGCATATACTTTCTGCTCCCCAGCTCCTTCAGCTGTACTCACTCTTTGTTAAGTCCCACAATTACCATTGTTCCCGGCCCGGACTTCAATCTGGCCTCACACATTATTTCCGATACCACACCTGACCCCCATGACTGTATCCCTCTGATCCACCCGATATTCACCCCATTTCCCCATATTTCCTTCTTTCCTGTTCCTCACTCTGATCACGCTTGATTTCTTGATGGCAGTTCCATCAGGCCTAATTGCCACACACCAGCAGAGGCAGGCTATGCTATAGTATAAGCCACTAGCCCGCCTCTCAGAACCTCTCATTTCCTTTCCATCGTGGAAATCTATCCTCAAGGAAATAACTTCTCAGTGTTCCATCTGCTATTCTACTACTCCTCAGGGATTATTCAGGCCCCCTCCCTTCCCTACACATCAAGCTCGAGGATTTGCCCCCACCCAGGACTGGCAAATTAGCTTTACTCAACATGCCCTGAGTCAGGAAACTAAAATATCTGTTAGTCTAAATAGACACTTTCACTGAATAAGTAAAGGCCTTTCCTACAGGGTCTGAGAAGGCCACCGCAGTCATTTCTTCCCTTCTGTCAGACATAATTCCTCAGTTTAGCCTTCCCACCTCTATACCGTCCGACAACAGACCAGCCTTTATTAGTCAAATCAGCCAAGCAGTTTTTCAGGCTGTTAGTATTCAGTGAAACCTTTATATCCCTTACGGTCCTCCATCTTCAAGAAAAGTAGAATGGACTAAAGGTCTTTTAAAAACACACCTCACCAAGCTCAGCTACCAACTTAAAGAGGACTGGACAATACTTTTACCACTTTCGCTTCTCAGAATTCAGGCCTGTCCTCGGAATGCTACAAGGTACAGCCCATTTGAGCTCCTTTTTATTAGGCCCCAGTCTTATTCCAGACACCAGACCAACTTAGACTGTGCCCCCAAAAAAACCTGTCATCCCTACTATTTTCCGTCTAGTCATACTCCTATTCTCCGTTCTCAACTACTCATACATGCCCTGCTCTTGTTTACACTGCCGGTTTACACAGTTTCTCCAAGCCACCACAGCTGATATCTCCTCCTGCTATCCCCAAACTGCCACTCTTAACTCTTGAAGTAAATAAATAATCTTTGCTGGCAGGACTATGCTGAATCTCCTTAGGCACTCTTTAATCAGATGTCCTTGGTTGTCCCAATTCTTAGACCTTTTATACCTGTTTTTCTCCTTCTCTTATTCCATTTAGTTTTTCAATTCATACAAAACCGTATCCAGGCCATCACCAATAATTCTAAATGACAAACGTTTCTTCTAACAACCCCACAATATCGCCCCTTACCACAAAATCTTCCTTCAGCTTAATCTCTCCCACTCTAGGTTCCCACGCCGCCCCTAATCCCACTTGAAGCAGCCCTGAGAAACATCGCCCATTCTCTCTCCATACCACCCCCTAAAAATTTTCGCCGCCTCAACACTTCAACACTATTTTGTTTTATTTTTCCTATTAATATAAGAAGGCAGGAATGTCAGGCCTCTGAGCCCAAGCCAAGCCATCACATCCCCTGTGACTTGCAGGTATACATCCAGATGGCCTGAAGTAACTGAAGATCCATAAAAGTAGTAAAAATAGCCTTAACTGATGACATTCCACCATTGTGATTTGTTCCTGCCCCACCCTAACTGATCAATGTACTTTGTAATCTCCCCCACCCTTAAGAAGGTTCTTTGTAATTCTCCCCACTCTTGAGAATGTACTTTGTGAGATCCAGCTCTGCCCGCAAAACATTGCTCTTAACTTCACTGCCTATCCCAAAACCTATAAGAACTAATGATAATCCACCACCCTTTGCTGACTCTCTTTTTGGACTCAGCCCACCTGCACCCAGGTGAAATAAATAGCCATGGTGCTCACACAAAGCCTGTTTGGTGGTCTCTTCACACGGACGCACATGAAAGTACAGATGTAGATACACAATAAAATGGAGAATAAAATGAACACTAACATACCATTGAAACCGTCATTGCAAAATTATGACCGAGACAGTGAAAGAGATCTAATCTAATCAACTCCATCTTGCTTCTAACCTCCAACCTGTCCTTGTTCATTCCTGGGCATAGGCTGAACTAACTTTGAGAGGAACTTAGTTTATAGTTTAGAACAAAGATAACAGCCCTTTCCCAAAACAAACCTCCTTCTTGCCTAAGGAGTAGACTCTCTTCGCAGGACTAAGAAATTAGCCACAAGATTAGAAATTACGGTTTAGGAGTCATGCAGGTGGAGGCTACAAGATTCTGACCCTCCCTAAACTGCTTCTAGGATTAGTGCTTGAGAGGAGAGAGGAGCCACCCCAGCCGCAGTAAGGGGCTGGGGTGGGGGCCCAGGACAGAGAGGCTGCATGACCCTGTTCTGTGAAGGGTTGAATAAGGAGCCAAACTCCTGGCGGTCCCATGTCTGTACAACCTTCACCACAGAGCAGGTTCGCGCCTTGGAGAGCGTCTTCCGGCACTACCAGTATCTGGGCCCTCTGGAGCGGAAGTGGCTGGCCGGGGATATGCAGCTCACAGAGGTCCAGATGAAAACCTGGTTTCAAAACCGCCAGATGAAACACGAACGGCAAATGCAGGATTCACAGCTGAACAGCCCCTTCTTGGGGTCTCTCCACGCGCCCGGGCTTTCCACTCACCGTCTTCTGGCCTTGCCAACGGCCTGCAGCTGCTGTGCCCTTGGGCTCCCCTGCCAGGGCCCCAGGCTCCGATGATGCCCCCTGGTTCCTTCTGGGGTCTCTCACAAGTGGAACAAGAGGCCCTGGCCTCTGCGTGGGCTTCCTGCTGCGGGCAGCCTCTGGCCTACCACCCCCCAAGCCCAGGAAGTGGCGTGGATACACTGGGACCAGCCCTGTCCACAGGGCCCTGGAGGCTGTGTGCTCTGCCAGAGACAGGGGCTGCGTTTTGAGGAAGCGTGTCTGACTCCATGTCTGCCACACACGAGGTCTGTGTAGATCGCACCTGGCACCTACCAGGAGGACTCAGCTGTTCTGCTTACATCCTGGCGGCACCTTTCACCCTGACCCACGCAAAGGTTCTGGAGATTTCTGGAGAATATATTTGTTAAAGCCACCTCTTTACTGAAAGTTACCAAAAAGGGTTGGTTTAGGAAGTAAATGAAGGGTCAGTGAACAGTCAAAGGCAGAAGTGGGCTTGTTATGGGTAGGGCTTTCAGTATATGATAAAAGGATAATTTGTTTTTTAAAAAGTGTTGGAAAAACTGGTTTTCCAGTTGGAAAAAGTAAAGGTTGTAAGATTCGTGTGTTAAAAAGAAAACCATGAAGGATTGGAAGGGAATGCAGGTGTCGTGTTTATAACCTTGTGGTTCGAGTCCCTCTTAACAAGGACCCCAAAGCTGGAAAGCAGGAGGGAACAAAGGTGAAAATTAAGGCGGGCTGCTGGGGCCCTGCAGTGCGGTCTAGGCCTTACGTGAGCCGGGATTGTGCCCGCAGCCTGCTGGGGGCTGCTCTTCTCGGGCCAGGGAAAGCGGGGCAGCTGGGACCTGCCGCTGTGCCTGGACTGAAGCCGTCCCCCACGTCCCTACCCTCCAGAATGTGCTCACCTGTCCCCGTCCTCACAGCAGCCTCGGGACAAAACAGAATGACTCAGAGACAGCACTTCCTGCAGAAAGTCCGGAAGTGCCCAGAATGGGAGGCACGGAAGCCCCTCCCGGGGAGGACTCTCCCTCACTGATGGACAGACCATTCTTGGTGCAGATTCCTGACTGCACGCACCGAACCTTAGACAAGAGCGCATCCGTCCACATCGCCCCAGAGTGCCCAGGAGGTAGGCAGCACAGGGCGCCCAGACAGACGAGTTCAGCCTGCAGGACTGCGAGGCGACCTGTGAAACCGACCCAGGCATCCCAACAGGAACAAAAGTGTGGTCCTGTGGCCTTGTCCACAGCAAGTTCCACTTTCCTCTTGCTCATTTCTGCATTGTTGGAAGTGTTTACAACCAGCATGTGCTTTTAAAATACAACCTCAGGTAAGAGTGGAAGAGCTGCTGTGCGTCCTAGTATGTGACGGAAGCCTGGGCGAGGCCCTGGGAGGGCAGTGGTTGGACAGGGGCTCCTGGGTGTGGCCTGGACAGCACTGATTTGGGGATGTGAATGGGGGCATATTGTCCGTGATAAAAGTACAAGTGCGCCGCAAAAAAAAACAAAAAACAAAAAACAAAAAAAATCAATGCTTGAGATATTTTGCAGACCCTGCACTTGATGGTTTAGCTGGCACCACCCAGATCAATAAACTGGCTCATCTAATCTCGTGGCCCCCACCCAGGAACTGACTCAGCACAAGAAGACAGCTTTGACTCCCTGTGATTTTGCCTCTAACCTGACCAATTAGCTCTGCCGGCTCACTGGCCTCCCCCTACTCTGCTCCGCGAATGCTCTGGGAGACTGATATGAGTAATAATAAAACTCCAGTCTCCCACACAGCCAGCCAGTTCTGTGTATCACTCTTTCTCTATTGCAATTCTCCTGTCTTGATAAATCAGCTCAGTCTAGGTGGCGGGTAAGGTAAAGCCATTGGGCAGTTACACCATTACACAGAGTTTATGAAATGTAATATTCTTCAGTCTGTTTTAATAATTTACATATTTGCAGTTAATGTTTTAATTTTCTGTAACTTTTCAAATTTCTGACTTAAAGCTGTTCATAATGCCTTTTCAATCTTGATCTTAAATTTCTTTTATTACTGCCCAACAGAACATTTTTGAGCAGATAGTAATTTCTATTGATTTCTAAAATAAACTACAATTTGATTACAGTTACAAGTAGAGTTTAGTGGTTTCAACTGCTAAGAAACATAAGCTAACTTTTATATATCTATGTTACCATATAAACTACATACTATATGACAGTATGACACTATGGTCATATACCTTTATACTTATATATAAATATATACCTATAGAATATACATTGTATACAATACACATATACATTGTGTATGTGTATGTGTATTCACAATGCAAGATAAGAAAAAGATTAGTGACGGCCGGGCGCGGTGGCTCACGCCTGTAATCCCAGCACTTTGGGAGGCCGAGGCGGGCGGATCACGAGGTCAGGAGATCGAGACCATCCCGGCTAAAACGGTGAAACCCCGTCTCTACTAAAAATACAAAAAATTAGCCGGGCGTAGTGGCGGGTGCCTGTAGTCCCAGCTACTTGGGAGGCTGAGGCAGGAGAATGGCGTGAACCCGGGAGGCGGAGCTTGCAGTGAGCCGAGATCCCGCCACTGCACTCCAGCCTGGGCGACAGAGCGAGACTCCGTCTCAAAAAAAAAAAAAAAAAAAAAAGAAAAAGATTAGTGACATTAAAATGACATTTCAAATGCTACAATAATGATGGAGTTGAAACATATAAATTAAACCTTGCCATACTTACCAGTCACAGTGTTACATTTTATGTACCCCATAAACAGATTCTTTTGAAAATTCAGTATTAATTTTAATTAAACTTTCAGTGTTTGTCGAATTCCATTTTGTTCCTATTTTTCTTTTATAGATGACCTAATTTCAGAAGCTGCATTTGTGCTAATTAGTTTCATTAATTCACTATTCACTTACAACATGTGGCTATAATGTATATGTGTGTATGTATGTATATCTTTATATATGTGAATATATATTCATTTATAACAAACTTTTTAGTAAGGGACTAATGATTTTATTATTCACCTTTTAATATCTGAGCAATGTGAAATTATACACCATCTGAAGTTCTATGAAGGGAAATCAGGGAATATCTCTGATTTCACTAATCTGTACTTACCAAAGTATACCTGCAAGGGATTGGATAATAGCTGCTGTCCATTTCTTGTCAACATAAATATCTGAAGTTTTTTCCCTTAAATAATTCTACAACTAATGACAACTCAAAAATACAAATCTGTTTTGTAATAATTTGACTAACTTAAATATTACATGGCTCAGAAAGGTATAATTTTAACACAAAAATAAGTGCAATGCAAAAAGGTAATTATCAAGGATCATTATTTTGAAAGACAACAAAACACAGCCAGATGGAAATGGGCATTTTTGAGGAAGACCATGTAGGCAGTAATGTACTGGTTGTCCCTGACTTAGGATGGTTTGACTTAAAATTTTTCAGACTTTTCCATGGATCGAAAGTCATGTGCATTCATATGGGTACTTTGAGTACCCATACAAACATTCTGTTTTTTACATTCAGTAGAGTATTTAATAAGTTGCATGACATATTCAACATTTTATTATAAAATAGGCTTTTTTAAGATGATTTTGCTCAAATGTAGGCTAATGTAAGTGTTCTGAGAATATTTAAAGTTGGCTAGTCTAAACTATGATGTTTGGTAGGTTAGGTGTATTAAATGCATTTGACTTAAGGATATTTTCAACTTAAGATGCACTTACTGGGACATGACCCCATTGTAAGTCAAGGAGAATCTGTATTTCCCATTACATTTTTAAAAGACTACACAGGGGTGAAGTAACCTATAGATTCCTGTGACTATATTAATTATTCTCTCTAGCTTTGATGATAAACCTACTTTCACAGCCAAATTAATATTTTTCCCACCAACAAATGAGTATTTTTCCACCTAACAAGAGGATTTTTTCCGATATTTTTCCCTGTATATGTTTTATTTTATATAAACTACCAATGTATTTTTATCATGCTGCTTCTGAAATAAATGTATGTCCTATATTCTATAATTAAATTTTACATGATATATTATTGTATTAGGCTGCACAAAATAGGGGTTTTTTTTTAAATCATTATAATCAGAAAAACATTATAAAACATAGATTTTTTTTGAGCATGCTTTATTACTAGTAATTTCTGCTAATTGGCTTTGTTTGACATTGTTGGTGCTTTAAAGTTAAAAACTAGATGTAGTGGTCACACACCTGTAATCCCAGCTGCTGGGAGGCTGAGGTGCAAGGATTGCTTTGAGTCCAGGAGAACAAGACTAGCCTGGGCAACGTACTGATATGCCCCTCTCAAAAAAGAGAGAAAATTTTAAAAGTTAGATACATGAATTATTGAATGAGTATTAGATGTGTAACAAGGCTTCTAGTATAAATTTATATTCACATGTATTAAAGGATATACATATTTCTAGATAAAAATTCAAAATTTTTCTCAATGAAATTAAGAGTTGCATATGCTGTGGTGCCCCGGTGAGGCCAGCAAAATATTCAGCCTGATTTGATTTGAATTTTAAAAAATTTGTTTTAAATTGACAGTAATTGTATATATAGAATACAATGTAGTGTTCTGATATGTGTATACATTGTGGAATAATTAAATCAAGCTACGTATCCATCACTTAATATACTTACCATTTTTTGTGGTGAGAATATTTCAAATGTACTAAAGCAGTTTTGAAATATGCAATACATTATTTTTAACAATATTCACCATACTGTTACAGGTCTCAAACACTTATTTCCCCTATCGATGTGAATCTATGTACCCTTTACCATCAACTCCATATTTCATCCCCCTACCCCACCCTAGCTTTTGGTAAGCATCATTGTAATTTCTACTTCTATGAGATCAACATTTTTAGATTCTATATACAAGTGAAACCATGGAGTATTTGTCTTTCTGTACCTGGCTTCTTTCACTTAGAATAATGTCCTACAGGCTCATCCACATTGTCACAAATGGCAGAATCCTCCTTTTATAAGGCTGAGTAGTATTTCATTGTGTATTTATCCCAGATTTCCTTTGTTCGTTCATCCATTGATAGACACTCCAGTCAATTCAAAATTTTGCCATTGTAAATAATGCTTCAGTGAATAAGATAATACATATGTCTCTTCAACATACTGATTTCAATTTATTTGGATATATAACTAGAAATGTGATTGCTGGATCATATGGCAGTTTTACTTTTAGTTTGTGAGGAACCTAATTACATTCTGATTTTAAAAGGCAGATACCCTTCTATACAAACGACAAGCTATTAGAATCTGAGCTGTAGCTCTTTAGTCCAAAAGAAAGCATTCCCAGAAAAACAACTGTATTTCATATCAGAATAATCACTGTATCATTATTGTTTTCTAAATCAGAGTAGCTGTATTCTTGAATTCATTCATTCATTGTTCAGCAACATTAATATATCACAGTTACAGACCTGCCGGAAACCTTAGGAATCACCTAATACAAACTCAAAAGATGTGAATATATCTGTAGTTGATATCTAGGAAAAATGTACACTCTTAGTAGTTCTGTAAAAAAATGCCGTTGTTCACATGTTGCATGCATGCTTTCCAGTCTATTTCCTTTTTTTTTTTTTTTTTTTTTGTTTGAGACAGAGTCTTGCTCTGTCACCCAGGCTGCATGAAGAAACTTAAGTTCAAACTTGCATTATCAAAGTTTTCACTATGACAAAATTGAAGTGGCTCTAGAAATCTGAAATTAAAACTTACCATTTCAGTCTTTTTAGTGATATGCTCTATGTTTCTAGTTACATCAATAGTGTAATAATTTGTGGAAAGCACCCCTCCAGTGCAAATATTTCAATTAGTTCAAATCATGTCTCTTGATATCTTCCTATTTGTTGTTTTAAGAAGTGATTTTCATATATGTTTAAGTGATGCCATAATTTTGAACATAAATAAGTCAGCTCTCTGTATCTGTGGCTCCCATATCAGTTAAACCAACTTTGAATGGAAAAATATTTTAAAAAGTAAAAATAAACAATAATACAACAATAAGTAATAACAAAAATTTAAAAATACATATAATATAGCAACTATTTCCATGGCATTAGTTATTATAAGATATTTAGAAATGATTTAAAGAATATGGGAGGATGTGCATAGGTTATATGCAAATACTATGGCATTTTATATGAGGGACTAGAGCATATGTGGATTTTGGTATCTTCAGGGGACCACTCCTCCACAGATATGGAGGGACAACTGCATATGCTTCTAGTTGATTAATCTCAGAAATTACAAATTCGTCCTATTCTCTGAGCCACTAAAGGAAAAAAGAATTAGTGATGTCATATCTTATTTGACACATAGAATTACAAATTTGATATTGGTGATATATTTTATTTTGGAGACTCAAAGAATAAATGTATACTGTGAACCTACTAAAAGTGAGTGTAAAACATAATTCAATGTTAAAGTACATACAGCCTAAGCAAGAAACTCAGGTAGTGATATGTTATAAATTAAGAAAAGTATATGGTAAAATGTTTGGTATTTGGGAATTTATAATTTGTAGACAAATGAGAAGCAAAGACATATAGCAAAAAAGAAGTTCAAATAAGTTAATTTCATGTTGTAATTATCATCCATTTATTTATTTGAAAATTTACTTATTTATTTTTTTGTTTTATTTTGTTTTGTTTTGAGGCAGAGTCTCTCTCTGTCACCCAGGCTGGAGTGCAGTGGCACAATATCTGCTCACTGCAAGCTCCGCCTCCCGGGTTCAAGTGATTCTCCTGCCTTAGCCTCGTGAGTAGCTCGGACTACAGGCGCCTGCCACCACACCCAGCTAATTTTTGTATTTGTAGTAGAGATGGGGTTTCACCAAGTTTGCCAGGCTGGTCTCGAACTCCTGGCCTCAGGTGATCCACCCGTCTCTGCCTCCCAAAGTGCTGGGATTACAGGTATCTGGCCTATTTGAAAATTTATTTTGGTTATCTACTTTGTTTAAGTTATTTATTCTTATTCCCTGTAGGCAATGTCTGGGGGAGTTATATAGTGGTTAGAAGGTGAATTGATGTGAGTAAAATCAGAATTAAAGAAGGACTTACGTAGATATACTTTCCAGGGCTTTACTGTTCTCCTTATAGTTGCTAGACAGCCTTTGTCTCTGACTTTCCTCATTTTTTGCTCCATTTCTAATGCTTTTCTCTGGTTTTTAAGTTTTCAGCTGTGATACTACTCAAATAGTATCAGTTTTATTTACCCAAAGAGCTAGTATTTAGTGTGAGTAGCACATATATAAGGTGATGTATAATGTACTAATTTGAGAGTATAACTTCAATCTATAGTCAGTAAATGAATCTTGTTATTGTGATTCTTACTAATGTACCAACTACATTATTATTTTTAACACTGGTATATATACATATATATATATATTCATACATACACATAAATTCAAAGTTTACAATGTGTAATATGAGATGGTACCTAAATATAATATAAGCTCGACTATGATGAGACTGGTATGGAAATGTGCCGTATGAATTCTATTAAGTTTACACTTAGGTTTATTAGAGAATAAGCATTAAAAAAGGGACCATCCTTTTGCAGAATTTTCTATGGGTCTAATGTTTTGTTTTTACACTCCTCTATCATGTTTTCATCATAATCTTAACAACTATCAGACCTTTTGATTAAAAAATACTGTTTGGAGAATCAGATGAAGGTTCTAGGTATGCATTTGGGTTTTGCTCAGCCGACTTCCTATAGTTTTTCCTTTTAAATTATGTTACAAACAGCCAAAAGCAAGTAAAATAATGGTTCACTTAGATAGCTAAGATACAGTGACTTATAGTTGATAAAGCTTCATTATGTACATCAATTCTCTAAGCCTCATAACATACACAGGAAGTAGGTAGGGCATGATTAAAGTGAGTTAAGCATCTTTTATTTTTTGAGCTGCATTATTATACTTTGGGATCTAAGTTCCTCCACCTATTTCAATTATGTTTGGCATATTTTCTACCTCAAGTTTTTACTAAGTTTTTAGAATTGTTAACCGTAATTTTTATAATTTTTAAATCTTATAGTTCAATAGTTGGCTAACATTGAAAACCTCTCTTTCCCTCTTTTCTTCATATTATTCTCTCTGTTTTTCTTTTTGTTTTTAATTGTATTTATTGACAAATAAAATTGTATGTATTTATTGTGTCTAATATGTTATTTTGAAATAGGTATACATTGTAAAATGGTTAAATATAGCTAATTGACAAATGCATTACTTCACATACTCATTCCTTTTGGAGAGAGGATGAGAAAACTTAAAATTTACTCCCTTAACAATATTTAAGAATACAATACATTGTCATGAACTATAGTCACCATGATGTGCAATATATCTTTTGTACTTATCTTTGCTAACTGAAATTTTGTGTCCTTTGACAAACATCTCAAACCTCCTTCCCCCAGTTAATAATAAACAAATAAGGAAGCCTGGCCAACATGGTGAAATCCCATCTCAACTAAAAAATACAAAAATTAGCCTGGAGTGGTGACCCACGCCTGTAATCCCAGCTACTCAGGAGGCTGAGGCAGGAGAATAGCTTGAACCCGGGAGGCGGAGGTTGCGGTGAGCCAAGATCGCGCCACTGCACTCCAGTCTGGGTGACAGAGTGAGACTCTGTCTCCAAATAAATAAATAAATAAATAAATAAATAAAATATATATATTTTAAAAGAAATAAGGGCCCAATCTAAGCACTGTTTTGCATATAATATAAATATTTCTTCTAGAGTATTATTTTTGAAGACATGGACATGTGTATTTGACCTCGTTCTACATGTGAAATAGTTCAAATTTACCATAATTCATTGTACAATTATGAGCATTTTTAAGCTTAACCTTTTATTTAAAGATAGATTAATAGAGATATAATACTATTTGAAGAAAGTTTCTAAAGCATATGGGGTCCATTTATATTTCTGGGCAATTAACATTGTGAACATGGATTACATCAGATAGTTAAAGAGTTCTATGCAGATTATTGGATCTTGGCACCCTATAAATTCTTTGAGCACAGTGCTCAAATTGTGAATTGGGCTAATTGACTGAAAAAATACTACGAAAATAGTCTTAAAAACTCATGTGGGATGGGCGCGATGGCTCACGCCTGTAATCCCAGCCCTTTGGGAGGCCGAGGCGGACGGATCACGAGGTCAGGAGTTCGAGACCAGCCTGGCCAATATAGTGAAACCCCATTTCTACTAAAAGTACAAAAAAATTAGCCGGGCGTGGTGGTGGGCGCCTGTAATCCCAGCTATTGGGAGGCTGAGGCAAGGAGAATCACTTGAACCTGGGAGGCGGAGGTTGCAATAAGCCAAAATCGCGCCACTGCACCCCAGCCCGGGCACGACAGTGTGAGACTCCGTCTCAAAAACAAAACAAAAGAAAAAAACTCGTGTGTTTGCTCTATGGAGATAGCTTCCATAATATTGACATATCTCAGTGTCTTTTATATGAAAGCCTACATTGAAGACATCTTTTTAAATTCAGTGCCTTTAAAAACATTTTGTTTTCCTAAGACAACCACAAGTTTCCTCCTGATATTATGAAGTAACTCCCAATGTAGTATTTTATTTTCATAATTTGGCCACCTTCCAAAGGATATTAAAAAAAGTACATTTTATAAATGGAGATACACTATTTTGAAAGGTAAAATGTGTTTAGTCAAAATGAGGGGGCATGTGCTGGGGTGATTAATAACTTATAAGCACTTTTTAAAAATTATGCCATCCTTACTGGCAGAGTGTGAAAAAAGAAAATATAATTCTGTGAATTTGGCATCTTGTGAGTAGAAATACGGAATACAATTTACATATAAGCATGCCCTTTTAAACTAGCAAAAGTGCAAAAGTGGTATTTCCCATTTTTGCTTCAGACACCATAATACTCAGATGTAAACCTGTAACCACATTAAAATGGCTCTAAGGACCTTATGGTCTGCAGGTTGGGTGCTGATAGCCTTTTCCAATTTGTAGTTTCCCCAAGAATGTGTTTAGACTATACTTACATTTTGATATCTTATTGTATACATTTCCTATAAACTACCTCAAATCCTTTGTGGAACCAGACATGCTATTAATTAATTGCCTTATTCTGTGCAGCTGCACCGTGCCATGCCCTCTGCCAGATGCTGGAAATACAAAGATAAACATGACATAATCCTTTTTTTCAAGTTGAAAATCCAGCCAATGTAGCTCCCATTTTCGTGACACTTTGGAACAGCAAACTCTTCCACATTATCATATTTGATATACACACATGGGAAATTTAAAAAGTGCATTAGGAGTATGTTTACTCTTTCTGGGCACTGAACTGAAACAATTATTTTTTTCAAAAATAGATCCACTGGGAAGATCTAGCTAATGTGTGAAAACTCAAATCTGAATAGATTCTGTGACAATAACTATAATTTTGGTGATGTTGCTATTTTTTGCCTCTACTGTGTCATTGGCTTTTCATTTTATGAAGCACAATGCATCCATCATGAAGAAAATCTGAGACTCTGATATATATACATATAATGCCGATTAGGCACTAGTTCTGCATAGCTTTGAGAAGGAAGTGGCATGACCTCATGTGGAATAAAATGCCAAGAACCTAGAGGCAATGATCAGAGTATAACTTGATAGCATATTAAGAAAAATCTCAATGAATTTATATTGTTGAATCTTTAAGAACTTAAATATTATAAATATCAAAAGCAAAATAATTTAATGTCCACTTACAAAATAATAGAGAGATGTGTGCATATATATATAATAAAATAATTGTTTATTTTCTTATATTATACAAAATAGAAGTTATGACTATGTATCTGAGTGCTCTCTGTGGTTTGTGGTTTATTTGGTTTTAATTTGAATTTTATTTTAAAACAAAGCTCTTTACTCTACCACTGTTTTGACTTCACTCCTTTTTACCTCACTGGTGAAGGAGGGAGTCCTGTTCTTGGCTTCCAGGGATGGCCAAACACATGACACCTGACTGGAAAAATAACATTGACAGCAGTTTATTAGTCACATAACACACACATCCTGGAGAGGGAGGACACCGCTTGCTATGCAGAAACACAGGGGGGTTGCACTCAAGAACAGAATGAACAAGCCAGCAGAAGCTGGGGGAGGTGGATTTGTATTAGTAATAGAGGATGTGGTGACCCCAGGTTTCCACATTGGAATGTGACTTGTTTGTTTGAATAATTTCACAGACCGGCAGGGAAAGGAAACATATTAGGGTGAGGATGGCATGGAGTGCAGCTGGTCTGGCTGATAGGGGATCTAGTGGTGAGCCTTTCCCACTGGGTGGTGAGCCTTTCCCACTGGGTGAGGGGCATACATAGAAACAGCCAGAGATCTCACAGTTAGACCTTTGAGACTCTGTGAAGTCAAGAATGTCAAGGCAGCACAAAAACTTTGAAGGCTTATATTACATTCATAACACCAGGTCTATTTTTGAAATCCTTCTATTATGAAGAATCGCTCAGGAGAGATCCCAAATAGTTAGAAAGCAGATTCTGAAAAGGAGCAGTCTCTTTCTTTCCACAGGAACCATGGACATTAATATAGGTATAGAAACTTTAAAAAAAAAAAGTGTAGAAATAATGGAAAGGTGATTAGGGTCCTGGTCTAAATGTGTTTCTGTTTTACCTATAATCATAATAAATCAATTATAGGTATTCATTATGGGTTGCTGCTAATCTTAAAGAACATGTTCAAAAATAAATATAGACAAACAACAATGATTTATTAAAATTCCTAGTGTTAATTTTAAAATATAAATGAGTTGAAAATGCATTGCCAACAGAAAAAAGGTAGCATGATAATTTGCCATTTTTAAGTATGCTAACATATCTAATAATCTCTGATTTTTAAATTTAAGATAAATTAGAAAGTAAAAAAGGCATAGGCTTTCTAAATATTCCTTTGTAGTGAAGTTTAATAGGTACCTAGGTAATCTAAATCAAATACATAATATAACAAATGCAACATGTTAGTTAAGGCTTATGAGTGTAGTTATGAATAAAATCAATGTATCATTTCATAGTCATATAATATGTATGAAAGTTAACTGAAATTACTTTAATATTTTATAGTTTCCTTCTCATTTAAATATTATTTATATAAATTTATAAAATATTTTTATATTAAATAAATCAAGTCTTCTAATTTAAATAACAGATACTGTATTGGATTTTTTACATCTGAAACATTTTTTTTTCCCCTAAAGATTCAGATTTCAAAGTATCAGTGGTAAAATCGGGTACCACTTTTTGTACTCACTCTTTTTTATTTGACATTGAGTCCCCACTTTGTTTTTCTTGATTAAATGATGTTATACAATAAACCTAGAGTATGTATAAAAGCACGAATTATGAATAGGCCTACAATGATCTATATATGCTTTTATTATTCATAACAGTGCTATTCTAGAGAGTTATTTTCTCTTCCTTAAATTATCAAGTGAAACTCATTATTTAATATACTATATTTATCCTAGGAAAACATTTTAAAGTATTTCTCAGAAAATAATACCATTGAAAATTAATATTTGCCACCACCAACTCACGTTTTAACAGTCGATTTTTGTCAGATATTGGATAGATATTCACATAAAATTATCTCCAATCAATGGGCAAATAATAACAATTATAGATACTTTTAATTCATTTGTTTCTTCAAAATGATGTTATTAACACACTGTTACATAAAAGCCTGTTGCTGGACAAGTCTTCCATTTTGAGCTGTCAGACTCATTTACAAGCTTCTGCTGTTATTTTGCCAATAATGCAATAATGCTGTCTTGCCCTAAGAAGACTTTCACCAAGCAGCATATTAACATAGGATTTAAGAAGAAGGGACCAGAGGAGAACGCAGTGCAGCAAACTCTTTGCCAGGGGTATGTGTGCTGATGTTAGTTGTAATAGGCCAAGGTGGAATTAAGAAAAAACAAAAGAAAGAAAAAGTCTCCTTTTGACAAAGATTAGGGGAGCTTTTCAACATCTTTTGATTGACATTTTGGCAGATGTTTAAGTCCTATGAGCTGAACTATAATTTATGGAAACAAATTTTTGCACCTGGTGATTTTTCTTTGAAACATCTCATTGAGATAAGACATTTGATTTTGAGTTTTCAAGACCACCTCAGAGATAAAGTGCCATTCAATATCTCCTAATGCTATTGACATATTTTATGGCTGGTAATATTTCAGCAAGTCTTCCTTCAGCAATACCATGAATAGTAAATAGGTGACTAAACTGTGGTAAAATCTGTAGGAATAAACCATACATTCTCAATGGGGATTATATCACCCACAAGGGGGAACAGTTTGAGTGGCGGTATCTTAGCTATTACAATGGTCTGTGGTCCTCCAAAGAACCACATAGTACATAAACAGTTATCTCTGGTATGAAAGTTTCCCTTGGGAAGTTAGGAAAAAAAAAATTGCTAAAAGGGCTGCTGGGGTGGAGGAATGAAAGTAGCAAAATTGTTTGATAAATAATGGTGTGAAACCCGTTCATTTAAGATTTGAAGCCATATACTTTGTTTACTTAGAATTAACACTTCAGTAAAAGGCAAAACTTGGCTGAATTGGTAAATTTGCAAATGAAATAGTAATCCTAATGAGTCAGTAAATAATCTTCTAAATAGTGTCCTAATGATGTTGTAACATTAAAAAAACTGAAAAGAATTATACTTTAAAAAATTTAAAATATGTTATTATCACCGATTATTTTTATATTACTTTGGTCAAAGTAAATAAATGGTAAAACTTATGAGCAAAGTTACAGGTTTTTGATGCTTTATGTTTTAGTTACTGTATTCATTTTCAATTTCAGAAGGAGTAACACATGGGGGAATTATTATCAAAATATTTTAAAATTCAACTTGGTAAAAAAAGTGTAGTAGAGTATATTAAAACATCCCTTCAAATAAACATGAGAATTAAAATAAACAGATTTATTTTGTATTTATCTTAATTATTGTTTTATACTTAATTTTTGATTATTATACTTTAAGTTCTAGGGTACATGTGCACAACGTGCAGGTTTGTTACATATGTATACATGTGCTATGTTTGTTTGCTGCTCCCATTAACTAGTCATTTACATTAGGTATCTCTCCTAATGCTATCCCTCCCCTATCCCTCCACCCCGTGACAGGTCCCAGTGTGTGATGTTCCCCACCCTGTGTCCAAGTGTTCTCATTGTTCAATTCCCACCTATGAGTGAGAACATGCAGTGTTTAGTTTTCTGTCCTTGCAATAGTTTGCTCATAATGATGGTTTCCAGCTTCATCCATGTCTCTACAAAGGACACGAACTCATCCTTTTTTATGGCTGCATAGTATTCCATGGTGGTTTTATACTTAATTTTTAAATCATAGTGATAATATTTGCAATTTCTGGTAGTGATATTCTTCAATAACAATTATTTTTATGCAGGTCGTATGCTAATAAACAAGCAATTTAAGTTAGCAAAAGTCACAAACATTACAAATAACCAATTTAACTAAATGCAGCTAGATTAAAATAATATGTGGTCAGTCTAATGATCTGTAAAAATCAATGGCTATGTAAAATAAGCCTAAAGTCCTTTTAGAAACCTACTGTAAAATGAGACTTTCCTAAATTCGTCCTCTTCAAGTAAAACCTATTATACCAAAAACTTTATGTAAGAAAACATTGTTACTCTATGAGTTTTAGAATGCAAATCTAGTATCTGTTTTACACAATTACTTTTAACATAGCTATTCAACTAGTAAACTTACTTCAAAGATATTATTCATATTTTCACTATATTTGAAATTTATATGCTGATATATTTTCCATGCTAGTGAATGGATTTTTTTTAGAGTGAGAATTTCAAGCTACGCCATATTGGAAAATGGGTTGAAGGGAGTTAAAAAAAAATAGGGTAGGCAGAGAATGTTACATAGACAATGACAAAGAATGGATGTCATCCATTATTATATACAGAAGCTTATTTTCTCAAAAATGAGTTACTATGTCAATTTTATTGAAAAAACAAATGAATCTAAAGAATATTTAGTCACTTTAAAAAATCATTCTAATAAGAACCAAGTTGAAACAGAAAACCACATTTCAGAAAACACACATATGTGCATTTACATATATGTATGTGTGCATACTTACATTATGCAAATCAGCTACTAGATAAAAGCTCACATCCTAGGCTTCATTGTACTATGTTAAAGGGAAAGGCTTTGGGCAATGCAAAATATTCTAGGAAAAGTACACCTTACTGTGATTTAGTTATGAACTTCATCTTGAAATAGTTGGAAACTGAGTATGTGTTGTACTTTTAAGATAAACCCATGTACCAAGCTATATTTAAAAATAGAAATAAATGACTATGATAGAGATGGTTGTCCAAGAAGAAACAGGAACCTAGCTAGCTACCCTAGCTGCAGGGACACAGATACAGGCTGAATGGCATTAAACTTAAAGCTGAACTTGACTTCTGGCCATAAATCTCAATGCCACCCTCAAAGTGATGCTCTGACTTTTCAAATGTGATTACAAAATTTAAATTTGTTTTCTCCTGTGTATTCACAATAATATTCTAAAACTCTGAAACATCATGGTCTCAGATTTAGCCCTAGTTACCTACTTTTTGGTATATCTTTAATAAGCTAGCATTTGTAAAATGATTGACGGAATTTGCTGGGGACAGCGGCAATTTTTACGTGAGAAGAGGTTCTGGTGGGTACATTAGTTATCATTACTTTCCTTTAGAATGTCCCATGAAGAATTTCCTCTTGAATTGTGATTTCAACCTCCAAGATAAACCCTGTGATGAGAGAGATGTTGAATTACAAATTGTTCTGAGTATAATAATTCCCAACTCTAAAATTCAGTCTAAGATAAAACTTAATTTATGAAGTTTCCATTTATAAAAGGTTAGTTTGGGTCATTTTACATTCTAATGGGGAGGATAGAAAATAAATTATCAGACTATGTGGAGATTTTAACAGTAGGAGTTACACATTTTTTAATAAAAAGTCATTGAATATTATGCTATTTGCACTACTTTGGGTTTTCATACATTCTTAAATCTCTTACAACTTTCTGTAAAACTAGTCCTTACCTTAATATATACATAAATCTGTCTGGATTTCCCCATTCTCTTTTCATTTCTTGGCTTCCAGCAGCTCTCCTTAAAATATGAATAAATTAATTACTTTTCTAATGTTCGCTGAAGGTTATAAACACTTATTTCAACAACAACCACAAATAGAGGTAAAATATGCTATGTTCTTTAATTCTTATCATAGACATAAATGCTGCCCAACTTACACCTACTTTGAGGCAAGAAATCTGTTAATTATACAGCTTCAAACATGAATGATTCATGTCCAAATATGTTATAGAAACAGGCATGATCAGAGTCTGTGAATTTAAAATTTAGGTTTTTTAATCCTATTTTTAAATTACCTAGAATATACTAGCTAGTACACTATTTATATCATCTTCATTTACATGTTACAAAAGGGAGATATGTCCTCATTGTTAGGTATACAATATAATTAATTTATTGTATGAATGTGGAAACTTTATAAAGTAAAATTGTGTGTTATCAATATTTACTACTACAACAACCAGCATAAACTAAAACTTTTCTGGGAAAACAGGCATGCAGAGTCACCCTATTCACATTTTAAGTCAGCCAGATTTTCTGATTTATTCAGTCAGAAAGGACATTTTGTAAAAGGAAACTGGATAGCTCAAAGAATCTCTGGAAAGACCAGAGAAAACTAAGTTGGGTAGATGGACAGGAAAAAAAAAATGGTACTCTAATCAGATTTGGCTGAAATTATGCCATAGCACCCATCTGCTGAGGATGGTGCTGCTAATGCTCAAACCTGTGGTAAACCAGATTGCGACATCGCCCCCCTCAGTCCTGGACCCTGAGAACAAGTATGCTGGAAACCATTGCCACTACTACGCTGGGAACTCCACATTCCTGCCATTGCTACTTCTAGTAGAGGTATCCTTCTATTCCTCTGCCCTAGTGTCACTAGTTCTCATTTCAAAATCCAGATATGTGAGTCCAATTGGCCAAGCCAAGTCATATGATTTCCTCTGGCCACCATGAGATCTGGAAAAATGACTAATATTTTCATCTTTTATAATAACTTATATGGTTTAACTTTAAACAAGACTTAAAAGGTGAGAAATTGATCAATATTAGGAATAAGATAATATTTCCCCATAAGAAAAGTGTACAACGAGGTGTGATTTCTTGAGTTTCACACCAAAGCCTATTGTATTTTCACTGTTCAAGGAAACCGCTCATATGTAATAATGCTTCTTCACAACCTAATAATTGCCGTAAGTGTAAGAAGAGCTAATTTTTAACTAATTAGAAAATATGTAGTTTATACTTTAATAATATTTATAAGGTATACAATACAATTAATTCATTGTATGAATGTGGAAACTTTATAAAGTAAAATTGTGTGTCACCAATATTTACTACTATAACAGCAAGCATAAACTAAAATTTTCTGAGAAAACAGGCATGCATGGTCATCCTACTCACATTATCCTTTGTCCTTGGATAATTCAAAATGTCCACAGGATTCCCATTTTTCATATTGATATCAAAATTAAATACTAGTATACAGTGCTTTACAGAAATCTTTAAAAGGATGGTGTTGACCCTTTTTATTAGCCAGTTAGACACATCACTTACATGATGTGATTTAATGGCCATTACTGAAAGATATCCACCTCTGTTAAATGTATCTCTCTACCTAGTCTGCAATAGTGCATGTGATTATATCTTTAGAGATTTATTCTGGTTTTGCATTTTACATTTTTTTCACACAGTAGGCATTATATGATATGTTTGTATCTTGTCTGCATGTGTGTGCCTTTGTCTGTGTGATAGATAAATAAATAAATGAATGATTTTTAACATATTCCTTTCCTGGAAACTGATGAAACAGTATATGGGTATAGTACTTTTTTTTTTTTTTTTGACAGGGCAAGGAGTCTTGCTCTGTCACCCAGGCTGGAGTGCAGTGGTACAATCTCGGCTCACTGCAACCTTTTCCTCCCGGGTTTGAGCGAGTCTCCTGCCTCAGCCTCCCGAGCAGCTGGGACTACAGGTGTGCACCTCCATGCCTGCTAATTTTGTATTTTTAGTAGAGCCGGGGTTTCACCATATTGGCCAGGCTGGTCTTGAACTCCTGACGTCATGATCCACCTGCCTCAGACTCCCAAAGTGCTGGGATCACAAGCATAAGCCACCGCTCCCAGCCCAGAATATGGGTATAATACGTTTTTAAATGAAGCACTGATCATCGCCATCATATGAAACCTCTCAAAGAAACATCAAATTTTGGTTTGAAATAAGTCCCAAGAGAAATACAATAATAAATACAACAAATATAATAATGTAACCAATGGGATAGAAAGAGAAATAAAGAGAAAAAAGTCTTTATTGGAAGAAAAGTAAGATAATTTAGCCCCTTTAAGATTGTGTCATGGCTCTGAAAGGATTAACAGAATAACAAATAATATTTTTATTTTTATACATTTTGTAAATCCAATCGATAACCTAGAGTTAACCTCACTGGGTCTTTAGATTAATTGTTTTTAACAATTTATATTCACAACAGTTAATTTTATAATTTACTTCCTTTTTCAAAAACAGGAATACAGTCCTATCATTAGCATCATCATAAATTATTGGTTGTTGACCAGGTGCATTTTACTGTAATAACTCTTTGGGATATACAAAATGTATATCTCATTTTCTAGATAAAAAATTATAAATATATGCATGATAATACATGATAAGATATGTCAAGTGCTACCTAAATAATTCATATATTGCATCACTTTACCAAATCCCTGGTTTGTGAATTTACCTTGCCTCTGAGCCTTTTTACCCTTGTGATCTGTTCCACAAAGTTTATCACTATCTCACATACTACCTTATTTCTGCTGGAGTGTACATCATACCATATTTTGTGCCTGGTATGCTGCTAGGTGTTAGATATTAAAAGATAGAAAATCTTATCCCTCTCTTCAAGAATGTTATACTTTATTGAAAACTCAGTCTTTCAAATAAGTTATTTTTTTAAATTAAAAAAAGAACACAAAATTTAGTAGTTGTTCTGCTGAATACCTTAAGGAGAAATGCAGTGAAATGTATAGGTGGCTTTGTCTGGAAATGATCCAAAGAAGTGATATTAAACAAAAACATATCTTAAAAGTTGAAGAAAAATCACAAAGACAATGTACTCAATAAATAATCAGAAATTGAACTGTGTTTGCTCAAGTAAAGTGAAGCGTTGGCTTCACTTTAATCGTACTGAACTGACCTGAAAATATGTTAGTGAGGCGCGGTGGCAAGCCTGTGATCCCAGCACTTTGGGAGGCTGAGGCGGACGGATCACCTGAGGTCAGAAGTTCGAGACCAGCCTGGCCAACATGGTGAAACCCCATCTGTACAAAAATACAAATATTACCCGGGCACAATGGCGGGTGCCTGTAATCCTAGCTACTTGAGTGGCTGAGGCAGGAGAATTGCTTGAACCCAGGAGGTGGAGGTTGCAGTGAGCTGAAATCATGCCTTTGCACTCCAGCCTGGGTGACAAAAGAAAAGAAAAAAGAAAATATTCTAAGTAATACTAGTGTTGGCAGAGGTTTAAGGAAATGGCAAATCTCATTTATTGCACATGGAGTGTAAATTGCCAAAAATTTTGGGAACACAATTTGTCAATTTACATAAAATATGTTAATATTTTTCCTACCCTTTGACCTGGGAATTTACTGTGGTTTGGATATATGTCCCCTCTAAAACTCTTGTTGAAATTTTATCCCCAGTGAGGCGGTACTGAGAGGTGGGGCCTTTAAGAGATGACTGGGTCATGAGGACTCTGCCCTTATGAATGAATTAATCCATTCATGGATTAATGGATTCATGGATTATCTCAGGAGTAGGACTAGTGGCTTAATAAGAAGATGACTTGAGCTAGCACATCAGTTCCCTGGACATGTGATACCTACATTGCCTCAGAAGTCTTCAGAGTTCCTGCCAGCAAGAAGGCCCTCACTATATGCATCCCCTTTGACCATGAACTCCTCGGCCTTCATAACAGTAGAAAATAAATTTATTTTACTTATATATTACTCCATTTTAGGTATTCTATTATACACAACACAAAACAGACTAAGAATTCTAATTCCAGGAACCTATAATAAGAAAATAAATAATGATGTTAACATTGATTTATGTTTAAGGTGGTTCTTTGCTGCATTATTTATGAGAGTAAAAATTCTATAAAGAACTAAATATCCAATGGTAAAATTAGTCCTATGAATTATTTTGTGTCATACAAGGAATTAAGTCTCTGATAGTAGAAGATGTTTAATAACATTAAAATTTTTCACAAATAAATGTTAAGTACAAAAAGCATGTTAAAAAGTATATGTATATTTTTACAGCACTAATCTCTGTGGATTTCAACTTTCTTTTTTGTTGTTTTCTGTGTTTCCTAAAACCTATGTAAGTAATATGTATTTCATTATCTTACAATATAATACATACTTTGTAGGAAACACAGACTTTTTCTTCTGTGTGTGAGTATCTGCAAGGTCTTGTGAACATATAGAAAATACTAAAACAAGTGCTCAAAAAGTATATACTTAAGCATCAATTAATATAATAAACAATTGTGGAAATATAGATCCTTCTCATATACTTGTAGTGTGTGTAGTATAGTGTGATATATAGCTAAGAGTATTACCCTTACTGGGCAAAACTTTGGTTGCCTTATTCATGTGAAATAACAAAAATAATAAATTAGAATTTCTGAATATATAAAATTATATTTTGATCAGTATTCTTTCCAATAAGCCCAATATGAGATTTGTTACAAAAATGAGACTATATGAGAAACTCATAGCCAAACCTATGGCCCAAAGTAATAAAAAATATAAAATGATATAAACATAGGACAGTGATACTTTAAGCCACAAAGTAAAACTGTACATTCATTTTGATGTGTTTTACTGAGATTGCTATTTCTTTGATGAGAAATAAAAGTTGCTAAGTTTTAAAAAGCAATATACTATAAAAGAAATACTATAAAAATATTGTATTAACTTCACCTTCAGAAATTGTGTAATATCTTCATTATCGTAGCACCCAATTCCTAGAATATTACAATCTACAAAAATAAGATATGAAAATATGTGTGAGAATCTTACATTCTAAGCATATTTGTTTATAGGTACAATTCATTTATAACCCTGTCTTGTAGTTTACAATTATTATCTCAAGATGAAAAAAATCACAATGACCCCTTTATCTTATGACAGTAGTAGATTAAACTTAGGACTAATGAATTCTCTCCTACAGTGGTTATACTGTTTATTACTGGTTTCAAATCATAGTAAATATTAAATGTGGTAACAATTATCCTGAGTTCAAATGTGAAAAGTCTAAGGAAGGCAAGAGACACTAGGTCTGTTGTAAAATCATTTTTAAAGTGTTTTGGATTCAGAAAAAAGCAACGTGAAGGGACCAAAAAAATCATAAACTATAATATATACTAGTATGTGTTAAATATACTAGTAAGGAAACTGATCCACAGAAAGCTTAACCAGGGTCATAAATGGCATTGTATATTAAGAACAAAGAGAGACTTAGTAGAATAAAAGCTTAGTTCAGGAGTCTGTAGCTTTGTTACCATAACAAAGTCAAATGATATTTTTTAATCTTGGTAAATTAGTCAATGTTACTTAGCCTCAGTTTCCACATCCATAAAATAGGATCAAATTCACTATTAACCAACCAGTTATCTTTAGTTCTCTGCAATAAAAAGTATTGTGGATGAGGGAAGAGTAAAGATAGACTTCCTATATGTAATTTTGTATTTGTTAAATCAAAGTATTACTTTTACAGTTAAAAATTAGAACAGTAATTTTTAAAGTTATTGTGAAGATTAAATAAACTGGATAAAAAAAGTTAGTTATAAATTCTACTTTTTCATTTTAAAAATGTAGTGCACATATGGAAATATCTAGAAACTTGATGCCATTTGGGAAAAAATGGATAATTAACTGGCAAATTTCTTCTTAGTCTGAAAAATTCTTTATTGAACAATCAACATACACCTTTTCTTGTTTGAGAGGAGAACTTGTTTGATGAAGAATAGAAATGTGTGAACATTTAATGACACAATTGAAATCTTTCTGGTCACAGCCAGGAAATTAAACTATAGCCCTGAGCAAATATTATCAATCATCATCATCATCTGGAATATCCTTTATCTCCAGCTACTGAGATTATCTGTTGAGAGGCAAGGCAACTGAAGGAGTTCACTTGAGCTCAAATAGACAGCGTGGAACCCTTTTAAGAAAAATTCATGCCTAAGAAATATTCCCCTAAGGTATTAGAAATGTTTAGATCACATATAAATCCCTTATATTTTTATTCTCCACCAATAAATTTATTGTTTAACTTGAATAGTTAGGCTTTGAAGTTGTAGGTGTGGTTTTCTAGACCGTTTTATGTCTCTAAAATATATTTATTATGAAAATATTATGATAGCTATTATAGAGGGTCCATTTCAATAGACTTACATGTGTACCTCTATATTTTGCTTGCAAGTTTGTATTGGAGATCTTCATATAGGCGGTATAATCTTAATCTTTTCTTCTCAGGTTTAGTTGCTCATCTGAGAACTACCACACTTTTTTCTTAGAGTGCAGAGATAAGAAATTATTTGAAGAGGATATAATTTAAAAAATTTTGTAAGATACCTAAATAGGAGAATCCTAACTGTAAATTTTCTATTGTGATTGGTGTGTTAAGAGGAAAGAAGAAATAAGGGATGAGAGAAAGATACAGAATTTAAAGGGTGAAGAGGAGAATGAAATCTGAATACAAACTGTAGGTTATCTAAATTCATTTAAATCAACTTAAATATGTTCTTGGAGTCTCTTCACATAAAGATAATATTCTGTAAGTTGAAAAAAAATGTAACCTTTTAAGGTTAAAAATGTGGGTTTTAGATGATTGTCCTTTCTAAACAGCCAGCATTTTTCTGTTTTCCTTGAGTCTTGCCTAACCCTATTAATCACAGACACCATAAGGCTGATTTCCTTTCTCAGAGTGGTTTCTTGGGCCAAGATATTTTAGACCTGAGTCCTATTTAAGAAGAAACAGAAAAATGATTTCCTTCAGTTGAACTCCTCCACATCTGCAGTTCTCAACTGCATAGCATTTCTTTAGCATAATGGTTTCAAATTGATTAAGGTCTTTTTTTTTCACTCTCTACATGTGGTAATGGGTCAAATTAAATGAGAACAGAGTTATTTCAGAAGTGTATCAGGATGTCTAAAAAAGATCTCTCTAGTGTACACACGTGCACACACACAAACACACACATGCATGCACATACACACACACACTGAAATGTCTTCATCCCCACCTCCCTTCACTGAATTTCACCAGAGGAATACAACAAAAATATTTTGTCATATGAAAACATTGTATATAGATATGAAATTTTCTCCACCCACCTAGAAATTAGATTCTGACCCAGAAAAAAAAATCTTGTAAACATCTTTAAGACCTTCCCTAGCCTTGGGAATTTTCCCAACCCCAGTCCTTTCCCCCAAATTTTTACTCCCCATCTTTCTCAAAATACACACTTCCTTGAACATTTGCTCTTTTGCACAAAATATTAGCAAGCTCGTTGCAGCTGTCCAACTTGCAAAAGACCTAATTAAAAAGGCAAGTGGTGTAAACATATCCTCTCTGCATAGAGTGAAGAAAGGGCCAAACAGTAACTCTATTTAAAAGACCTAAAAATTTCAAATCCTAAAATGATCTATAAATATTTTAGGACGTATTGATGTGAAAAGGTGTCGACTCTGAAAGGAAAAGTCAGCAAAAGAGGCTTCACGGAAGCAGCATGTTCACGTTTTCTTCCATCCCAGAAGGTGATATTACTGGATTTTTATAAGCTCAGAGTTTGGAATCTGTTGTTTCCTTAACTGGAAAAAGCCTGAGCTTCGTGTTTCCCCAGCATCAGTGACCCAACAAGCATCTGCGCGAAGAGGAGCTGCCGGCTACCTGCAGAGAGCGTTCTCGCTGAGCTTTAGAGTCCAGAGATTTCTATCTCCTCCTCTCAAAATGCAACTGGTTATTTACTTGTAAACATTTAAATTAGTTCAAACTGATGTGAAAACTTTGTCAGTGGGGTGTGTGTGTGTGTGTGCGTGCGTGTAGTGTGCGCGCGCCTGCCTGCCAGTGGGTTTTTAACAGCACTCACAAATCATCTTGGGATTTTTCCCTGCCCCCTCTCCCTTCTTTTCCGGTTCTCAGTTAAAGCTTTCGGGACTGGAATCAAGGACTTCAGCATGCATTGTGTTTCACCCTCCAGAGTTAAATAACATTCAAGAAATATCAAAGAACCTAACTCTCAATGACCAAATTGACTAAATTTCTGCAAGTTTTAAAAAGTATATGCCTAATTTATATACCTTGCAAAAAAATTCATACTCAATTATGATATTATGTAACATATATGTTCCGAAAGCCACTTTGAACATACCAAAAGAAATGTTTCAAAGACATCAAATAGCGTAAAACACTGTGCCGCAGAGAAGGAAGAAATGCATTTAAAGAACCGATGAAAATGGCGTGCAGTATAATTACCTCAAATTGCTGTTCGCTTGACACCCTGACACTAATTTTATTCAAGCCATTGGGAAATAAATGTTTTAAAAGCACTCCTTTCCGAATGGTGGAGCTGGTGGGGGCTGTGAACTCGTTAAGGAAAGGAAAGGGTAAAGTTTCCAGCACGCAAAAATAATCAAATAATCCATTTAAAATAAGCATCTATGTAGATCGTCAGCCTTTTATGCCCACATTTTTAACGCTTGCCCTGTACGTGGATTGATTTTTTTTTCTTTCAGCATTCCCTAGCCAGATGGATTTTTGCTACTGCAGATCAGCAGAGGGTGTCAGATCTTTCAGAGTGCACCAGGCTGGAACGAGCAGAGCTTCTTAGCAACTCTCTTCTCCGCCCCCCTCCCCTCATTCTCGCGCTCTCTTCCTCCCTCAGACAACTCGCCCCCCGCCCTCCGCCCCCCTCCACGTAATTCCGAAAGAGCAGAAGAAAGAGAAGGAGAACAGGAAAAGAAGAGCTAGTAAGCGAGAGCGAGAGCACAGAAAAGAAAAAAAAAAGCCTTAAGAGGACCGAAGGGGAGGAAAGGAAAAGGATGGACAACCACAAAACGCAGCGATTGCGGAAATTTTCCAGCGCCATTGGCTGGGCAGCGTGAGTCCTTCGGTCGGGCGTGATTTCAGCACCGGGGGAACTGGACAGCACCTCGGGGGGACTTCTGGGCAACCCGCAACCACAGCAAGAACTCCACCAGCAGCCTCAACAACAGAAGCCGCGGAAAACCCTGCTTTGTATCAGAGAGGCAAGGTCAGTCCGACGCACAGCCATGCACAGGCAGTGCGCCTGTACTACGCTGCAAACCCTCTGCTTGTTTCTCTAACATGCACTTGCTTCTAATTACTAGCATTGTTTCATTTCTGATCAGTGAAGATCAGTAGATGAGATTCTGTAAGGGTGTACTTTTAATTTATATGTATATATTTAACTTCTTTTTCTGTTATTTTTAAAGTGTTGTGGGGGAGTGGGGTTTTTTTCCTACTTTTTTTTTTTTTTTTTTTTCTTTGCTTGCCTTGCACTACGTGCCTGGATAGTTTGTGGATATAATTATTGACTGGCGTCTGGGCTATTGCAGTGCGGGGGGGTTAGGGAGGAAGGAATCCACCCCCACCCCCCCAAACCCTTTTCTTCTCCTTTCCTGGCTTCGGACATTGGAGCACTAAATGAACTTGAATTGTGTCTGTGGCGAGCAGGATGGTCGCTGTTACTTTGTGATGAGATCGGGGATGAATTGCTCGCTTTAAAAATGCTGCTTTGGATTCTGTTGCTGGAGACGTCTCTTTGTTTTGCCGCTGGAAACGTTACAGGGGACGTTTGCAAAGAGAAGATCTGTTCCTGCAATGAGATAGAAGGGGACCTACACGTAGACTGTGAAAAAAAGGGCTTCACAAGTCTGCAGCGTTTCACTGCCCCGACTTCCCAGTTTTACCATTTATTTCTGCATGGCAATTCCCTCACTCGACTTTTCCCTAATGAGTTCGCTAACTTTTATAATGCGGTTAGTTTGCACATGGAAAACAATGGCTTGCATGAAATCGTTCCGGGGGCTTTTCTGGGGCTGCAGCTGGTGAAAAGGCTGCACATCAACAACAACAAGATCAAGTCTTTTCGAAAGCAGACTTTTCTGGGGCTGGACGATCTGGAATATCTCCAGGCTGATTTTAATTTATTACGAGATATAGACCCGGGGGCCTTCCAGGACTTGAACAAGCTGGAGGTGCTCATTTTAAATGACAATCTCATCAGCACCCTACCTGCCAACGTGTTCCAGTATGTGCCCATCACCCACCTCGACCTCCGGGGTAACAGGCTGAAAACGCTGCCCTATGAGGAGGTCTTGGAGCAAATCCCTGGTATTGCGGAGATCCTGCTAGAGGATAACCCTTGGGACTGCACCTGTGATCTGCTCTCCCTGAAAGAATGGCTGGAAAACATTCCCAAGAATGCCCTGATCGGCCGAGTGGTCTGCGAAGCCCCCACCAGACTGCAGGGTAAAGACCTCAATGAAACCACCGAACAGGACTTGTGTCCTTTGAAAAACCGAGTGGATTCTAGTCTCCCGGCGCCCCCTGCCCAAGAAGAGACCTTTGCTCCTGGACCCCTGCCAACTCCTTTCAAGACAAATGGGCAAGAGGATCATGCCACACCAGGGTCTGCTCCAAACGGAGGTACAAAGATCCCAGGCAACTGGCAGATCAAAATCAGACCCACAGCAGCGATAGCGACGGGTAGCTCCAGGAACAAACCCTTAGCTAACAGTTTACCCTGCCCTGGGGGCTGCAGCTGCGACCACATCCCAGGGTCGGGTTTAAAGATGAACTGCAACAACAGGAACGTGAGCAGCTTGGCTGATTTGAAGCCCAAGCTCTCTAACGTGCAGGAGCTTTTCCTACGAGATAACAAGATCCACAGCATCCGAAAATCGCACTTTGTGGATTACAAGAACCTCATTCTGTTGGATCTGGGCAACAATAACATCGCTACTGTAGAGAACAACACTTTCAAGAACCTTTTGGACCTCAGGTGGCTATACATGGATAGCAATTACCTGGACACGCTGTCCCGGGAGAAATTCGCGGGGCTGCAAAACCTAGAGTACCTGAACGTGGAGTACAACGCTATCCAGCTCATCCTCCCGGGCACTTTCAATGCCATGCCCAAACTGAGGATCCTCATTCTCAACAACAACCTGCTGAGGTCCCTGCCTGTGGACGTGTTCGCTGGGGTCTCGCTCTCTAAACTCAGCCTGCACAACAATTACTTCATGTACCTCCCGGTGGCAGGGGTGCTGGACCAGTTAACCTCCATCATCCAGATAGACCTCCACGGAAACCCCTGGGAGTGCTCCTGCACAATTGTGCCTTTCAAGCAGTGGGCAGAACGCTTGGGTTCCGAAGTGCTGATGAGCGACCTCAAGTGTGAGACGCCGGTGAACTTCTTTAGAAAGGATTTCATGCTCCTCTCCAATGACGAGATCTGCCCTCAGCTGTACGCTAGGATCTCGCCCACGTTAACTTCGCACAGTAAAAACAGCACTGGGTTGGCGGAGACCGGGACGCACTCCAACTCCTACCTAGACACCAGCAGGGTGTCCATCTCGGTGTTGGTCCCGGGACTGCTGCTGGTGTTTGTCACCTCCGCCTTCACCGTGGTGGGCATGCTCGTGTTTATCCTGAGGAACCGAAAGCGGTCCAAGAGACGAGATGCCAACTCCTCCGCGTCCGAGATTAATTCCCTACAGACAGTCTGTGACTCTTCCTACTGGCACAATGGGCCTTACAACGCAGATGGGGCCCACAGAGTGTATGACTGTGGCTCTCACTCGCTCTCAGACTAAGACCCCAACCCCAATAGGGGAGGGCAGAGGGAAGGCGATACATCCTTCCCCACCGCAGGCACCCCGGGGGCTGGAGGGGCGTGTACCCAAATCCCCGCGCCATCAGCCTGGATGGGCATAAGTAGATAAATAACTGTGAGCTCGCACAACCGAAAGGGCCTGACCCCTTACTTAGCTCCCTCCTTGAAACAAAGAGCAGACTGTGGAGAGCTGGGAGAGCGCAGCCAGCTCGCTCTTTGCTGAGAGCCCCTTTTGACAGAAAGCCCAGCACGACCCTGCTGGAAGAACTGACAGTGCCCTCGCCCTCGGCCCCGGGGCCTGTGGGGTTGGATGCCGCGGTTCTATACATATATACATATATCCACATCTATATAGAGAGATAGATATCTATTTTTCCCCTGTGGATTAGCCCCGTGATGGCTCCCTGTTGGCTACGCAGGGATGGGCAGTTGCACGAAGGCATGAATGTATTGTAAATAAGTAACTTTGACTTCTGACAAAAAACAAAAAGTGCTGCATGGCTCGCATGGAATCCACGCGCTCCAGGGACTCTGCCCGCCCCCGCGACTGGAGACGGCATCTCGTTCACAGCACCCACCCTCTTACCTGATAAGTTCCATCGTATCAAACTTTCTATAAACAAAATACAGTATAATCAGAAAGTGCCATTTCGCCATTATTTGTGATCGGTAGGCAGTTCAGAGCATAAGTTAACTGTGAAAAAAATGTAAAGGTTTTATTTAGGACATTTGCATGGCTAGTCATCAGTCCATTTTATGAGTTAACAATGTATTTTGTTGAGGGAAGTTTTTAGGGGTTGTTTTGGGTTCTTTTATTTTGATGGTGATGTTTTATTTTATTTTATTTTTTTCAGGGGGTCTTTTTTTTAATACATATCCAATAATGCCTTCCATCTGAATGTAAAATAAGTACCCATGATTTCTATTATAGTATCAGTGTAATTATTTAAAAAATGATTTTGAGGCAGTTAAGCATGACCAATTAATGTCACTCTAGTGCTTAGGCTGCGATCCTATGGTAGCAATTCTGTGCTGGTATAAATCTTACTTATAAAGTAGGAAAAGAGAACCGAGGAAGCACGTGAAACTTACTAATTCTATTCGAGGATTTTATAATGGCATATTTTTTCAGTATTAAAGCGAAAATGTTTTCAACTCTGGGTCCTTACCTTTTTCCAGCTTCATATTTGCAAGTGGTAAATTGGATTTGCGGTGGAAGAGACAGGGGAGGGAAACGGTTGGGGTTAGATCCCTTCCTGAGCTACATTAAGGCTCTTTCTCTAATCGCCTTACTTAGCTTTTTACCCTTTAAGTAGCTCCTCTTCCCTCGCCCCCACCCTCTACCCCACCCCCACCTTCGCTCAGACTTTACCGGCTTTCCCCAGTCCATAAAGGTCTTGCCCCAACACTCACCCCTTCTTTTTTTCCCCTCTCCAAATGCAGCAGTGAATCCCTTTATTAATACTGGAAATCCCTCTCTGCTGCTTTTGTTGGTGCTGCCCACACTGCAGATATATTAAGGATGTTAGGAGAGATTTGATTTAATTGACTCTGCCTAGATAGGTCTCATTAAACAGAGTGGAGATTTCATTGGTCAGCACTCCTCAATGAAAGACAGACCTAATGACTGGCATTTGAGATGCTGCTGGCATTTTGAATTCAACATCTGCTGAAAACGGTAAAACTAATTAGTGCCCACCCACCCTCCCCGCCCCAGCAACTGCATATTGAAATTTGTTAAAGCACTCATCTTTATGGAAATTAATCATTATCCTAAAGAAGTGTTTCTCTCCCATCATCCGGATTTCTGGTTGTGGCCCAGCAATTAACAAAAACAGCTTCAACTGTTCGAATTTTATGAACCAATGTAACTCTGGCCTCAATCATATTCCTCTGGGATTTCTAAACAGCAGTTAAGCTACAAAAAGCAAACAAAACCACACATATTGATGGAGTCTGCATTCCACCACATATCCACCCTTGAGAAGTATGTCAAAAGACTGCAGACTATAGATTTTTTTTTAATATAGGATTATAAATCAGCTAGTGAAAGACCTCAGAGCAGTTGTAAGTAGATCTGCCATCTAGAACTCATATTCTAAAGGGAAGTGATTTCTCAGAACAGTGATGTTCTGGAATATGTATTATTTATTTTAACACTTTTTTAATAAAATCTTTATTATAAACCATGACTATTCCTAAGGCCATTCATCATTTTCTCTCTTGATTCTTTTGTTTGTGGACTGCATTTCATGACAGTAAACCTGCAACCTACTCTCCTCTGACAGATATTATGGGTTGTTTTCTATTTATTAATTTCTTACAGGATGGCTTTATTCTTTTTACAGAAAGTACAACTGGGTTCTCGGTAAGCAATCAACAGATTTACTTGTGATGGAAAAATTAGGGAAGAAGAGGCATACATTCGACAATGTTATGACCTTTAGAAAGAAAAGAAAAAATGACAGATGTAGAAACAACATCTCTGGTGGAAGGTGACATTTAATGGCAGATATCTAGTGAGGTATGTTAGTAATTTTGAAACTGATACATGACTAATCTAGGTCAGGAAACTAGAACTTCTCATAGAAGATGTGCACAGAGGCGAGAACTTTTCTTCATTTTAATTGAAAAGAAATTACAGTATAGAAACCAAGGTTAAAGGGGTAAAATTATTTTTAAATAGTAGTTTCAATGGTTTTGGAGTATTCATTGTGTGCCACGCATGTGCTAAGTGATTTACGTAATTATTTAATTTAATCTCCACAACCACAGGGCAGTTAGTAAGATACTATTTCCATTATACAGATGAGAAAATTGAGGCTTAAGAAAAGTCAGCAGTAACTCTGGTCATACATGGTAAATAGTGGAGTGGAATTTAAATTCAATTTTCCTTGTACTCAAAGACCTTATATTTTGAGTAAGTAATCACGTACATTTACCTGATCAAGTTCTTAAGGCAATCTTAAAAAAAAAAAGCATTTATGAAAATACTATGTAACAAATTAGGCACTCAGTTTGTATATTCACAGCCAAATATGTATTGGTGGCCCTTTATATTTCCGATATTTCTTGCAGCAACAGAAATTTGCCCTTCATTCAGTGGAGATAACTTCAGTGTGTTCTCCAAGAGTAGTATATAAGAAGACACAGCACATAAAAGAAAAGATGAGTGTGCTAAATGAGTTCATAAATTACAGATATTCAAATGATTGAAACTAAATCATCTATATATTGACTCTAAAATTGTAGGACTATCAGAATATTTTAATAAATAATATATGTGAAAATCTATGTACAAAAGATATCCAATAATTTCATGTATAAGAACATTTGTTTATTTAATCTAGCAGGGTTTTATTCATTTTGATAAAATATCTCTGTAACAATTAATTGATATACATTAGTTTTATACAAGTATATGTTAGTTTATAAGATACATAATACATTTGGTCACACCATGTAACTTTCATTTTAAAATACTTAGCATCTTCTCTTTGTTTTGTCTTTGCATAAAATGTTCATGTAACTATAGTTAATCATGTACATTAGTTGAGATATCTTGTTTCTAGTTAAATCATTCTTTAGTTCATTAAAGTAAAAGAGATTTTAGTTGTGCCCAATGGAAAAGGAGGAAAGAAGGATCTTGTTTAGTTACATTGCCTAAGAGGAAGTAGTAGCTTCTGTGGCTGCTGCTATAACTAAGAATATCCTAGAATTTAAGTTGTTGCCATAGAAATTTATTGTTTAACCATTTTTACATGCTTACCCAAGAGGAGACTGAAATAGTTAATATAACATTAACATAACAAGATTCTTTGTCTTAACAGTATTTATATTATATGTACTTAGAATTGTCAGAAATTTTAATGTGTTAAAGTTATATTGGTGATTATAAAGACAGTTTGTTAATTTAGCTTTTTCGGATTTCTAATGTTATTTAGTAGGTAGAGAGAGGTAGATGAATTTGCAAGGGTGAACATGGAAGTTCTGTTTATAATGTGTTAGTGTAATATTGAAAATAGTGGTTTCTAATTCAGCAGTCCTGCTAATTTATAAATCTTATTTTTATTTGTATACTTATTTAAAGAAAAATGGAAATATAAAATGTGCTAAATATTTAATTTTAGCATGTGTTAACTTTTGATACATTTTCTCTATTATTGAAATCTATTCATTTAATCTAAGAGATGAACTCTGCATGATATCAACAGATATAGCACATGCATACTGAAGATTTTTAAGTTACATGATTTGCTTTAACATGGCCCTGAACCATAAAGAGGGCTAAATTAAATACCTTTCTTATAATCCCCTGTCATTTTCTTTCATCTATAGTGTTATCAAAATGTTATTATAACATGAAGACATACAAAATTTTCTTCTTGGCATTGAAAAGAAATGCTACTAAGTGGTTTCATGAAGCCATCTATTAATAACAAATTTTGAAACGTGAGCTAAATTTGTTGTGACCTATTACAATTTGTTATGATCTACCAAAACTCGATCAGATTTCAGAAAAAAATTGAATAGTTAAGATAATAACAAATTAAGTGTTTAAAAACTACAGTTTTAAAATGAAATAAACCACTGAAGAAATCATCTTTGATGATTAAGCCCAGTATAACCCTTTCCCTCAACTGACTAGCAATTTCACTTTATTGGCTTAGACCTCAATAACCAATTAATTACTCTTTTTCCACTTACCTGCTAAATATATATTATGTTACACACTTGAAATATAATTACATTTTATACATGAACTTCACACAAAGGTTATTGGAGAATTACCTAATAGTTTGAAGACTTTTGAATGTGTTAGACATAAATATTCAATTGGCAACATTAATTGGGCACTTGCCACATAAAAAATATCATAGAAGCTCTCTTGGGAAAATAAGGCACTTCAACCCTCAAGTAGTTTATGCCCCACAAAGGTGAGATATATACATCATTGGAATTATAGACCAGTGCATAACTGGCAGTGTTTAAAGAATGCCACTAGAACATTTTGTGTTTCTTTCAAGTAATTTAGGTTTTGAATCATTTGAAAAAGTGCAATCATTACATCAGTTTTATTAGTCAAATAGATGAAAATCTTAAAACAGTGTTTTAAATGATAGAAGTAATTTAATTACTTCAGTAGTGTTATTTTCACTTCTTTTTCTGTGAAATGGGAATAATTCCTGTTATTTTATAACTTCATGAAGAGTTTTCTAACAAGCATTCTAAAAAGAAATAATCAAACCAGTTTTTATCAGGACAAGTGAATGACTGATAATTTTTCAATTGTACTTATCTAAGAAATCAGACATGACATTAGAAAATTAAATAAAATATTTTATATTATAAGAAGTTTAGAAACAGTCTCTGGGCACTTAGGTTTGATTTTTGTTATTTATATATATAATAGATTTAGATTATAGAAGCTTTAATATAATATTGTATATAATTTTACAATTTTACCGTAAAGCTAATAATCATCTTGCTATTTTTTTTGTTTAGTAAAACGTAATATTCAATTACTTAGTAGTAATGTCCAGATGCACAAGTCCAAAGGTTTAACAAGCAGGAAGGAATAAGCTAAGCCATGCATTTACTGACTTATATGTCTTTTTCTCTTTGCTTCCAACTCCATTTCTTGGCAGAAGAATACACGAATGAAACATGCTCAGCTGTAGCATATCGATAGAAAAAGTCAATATATAGTGAAAAATGAAAGTGCCTCAAATATAGATGATAAATGGCCACTCCACAGCATTATCAAAGAAGCAGTCTTTGCTTCCCAGGGAAGGAGGATAAGTGGAAAAGGGTCACTAGCACCATAAACAATAATGGCTGTTACCAGATTCTGTGACATTGACTGTGCACTTTTCCATTTTAAATCAATATCTTGTTTAACATTTCCAAGCTGCATATGAAAAAAAAAAGAAATTCACATCATTATGATAGTAATAGGATTTGGATAATATTCTGTGCTTATATAGAGTTTACTGCCTCTTCCATAAAATAATAAGATTACAAAATAGTTAAGGAATTTGAAACTATGCATTGCCTCTATACTGTAGTAGAATCTGTATATTTTAGTCCAGGTATTATTATTTATTAAAAAACCTGTCATATAATTAAAATAATTCTACATGACTAAATTATTATATCTGAAATATTTTGTTCTATTAAATATGACATGGTATCATACAATAATTATGTACTAATTTATGTCCAATTAGATAAATTTTGTAGCGAATTTGATTTAGTTGTGAATCCAGTTAACTTTACTTGATTGGGCATATTTACCATCAGTGTGTTTTTTGGTAGCTTATACAGTAAATTGTTGGATATGGCTTTGTCATAACTAAGTTGATATTAACGTTAGTGAACTTCTCAATGTTTTTAAATCATGGATGTAAATTGGCTTAACTAATTATCAAATGAATCTAAAGAGATTGAAATGACTAAGTTACTTAAGTAAATAGTTTAATGCTATTAATCCCTCTTTTTTCTCAATGACTAAATGTTTTCCTATATCTCAGCACATGCTTTAATGAGAGAGAGAACCCTTAATTTTTTTCTTGATCAGGAAATGTTACTTTTTTAATTTTTCAGCAAAACTTTGATTGGATGATATTTGTATTTTTCACCATAACAGTCAGCGCTCCAACAATCAGATTTCATGATACAGATGGTATTTGGAATAATGAGACATTAATACGTAAAAAGTAGAGTATTCCAGGAGGGTATTTTATCTTATGAGAAACAAGACTTGAAGCCGAGAAACTAACAGCTGGAAATAGCAGTAATCTCCAAGAATTGAATTACATGGAATGTCATGTTACTATTTTTTTTTTTTTTTTTTTTTTTGAGACGGAGTCTCGCTTTGTCGCCCAGGCTGGAGTGCAGTGGCGCGATCTCTGCTCACTACAAGCTCCTCCTCCCGGGTTCACGCCATTCTCCCGCCTCAGCCTCTCCGAGTAGCTGGGACTACAGGCGCCCGCCACCAAGCCCGGCTAATTTTTTGTATTTTTAGTAGAGACGGGGTTTCACTGTGGTCTCGATCCCCTGACCTCGTGATCCGCCCGCCTCGGCCTCCCAAAGTGCTGGGATTACAAGCGTGAGCCACAGCGCCCGGCCGTCATGTTACTATTTTAACTCAAAATTTATAACATCAAATTAAGAAGAAAGTAAGATGAGAGCACATTTGAGCATTATTTGCATGAGTATGACATTACTAATAGCCAGTTGAAAGATTTTTATGCTACAATTTTTTACAAAATAGAGCCTTTTTTTTCAGTATTCTTTTCATGGATAGCTAATATTTTGCCTATTAAATTTCCATCCCTACAAGCCCAATTTACGTATTTGATGAGCAATTAAATCCTTATGTCGGCGAAAAGAGTCAAACACTGTAAAATATTTTAAGAGATTTATTCCGAGCCAAATATGAGTGACCATGGCCCATCACACAGCCCTCAGGGGGTCCTGAGAACATGTGCCCAAGGTGGTCGGGGTACAGTTTGGTTTTATATATTTTAGGGAGGCATGAGACATCAATCAGATACATTTAAGAAGTACATTGGTTTGGTTCAGAAAGGCGGGACAATTCAAAGCGGGGGCTTCCAGGTTACCGGTAAATTTAAACATTTTCTGGTTGACGGTTGAGTTTATCTGAAGACCTGGGATCAATGGAAAGGAATGTTCAGGTTAAGATAAAAGATTATGGAGACTGAATTTTATTGTGCAGATGATTCTCTCAGATAGCAGACTTCAGAGAGAGAGCAGGTTTGTAAAATGTTTCTCATCAGACCTAAAAGGGTGCCTGGCTGTTAGCTGATTATCCCTTGGATCTGGAAAGAAAGGAAGGAAAACGAAGCGGAAAAGGGATTCTCCATAGGATGTGGATTTTTCCCACAAGAGATTTTTACAGGGCAATTTCAAGGTATGGCAAGGAAATATATTTTGGGGTTAAATATTTTTTTCCCTTGTCTTGTAGTGTTATGCCAGAGTCAGACTGAAAAGTAAGTCATGATATATAGGGTCAAATAAAACCCATCTGATGAGAATTTATGATTTGTAGGGCATGACTCCGTAGACCCCTTAGGTAGGAATTTGGGCAAGATAAAAAATTCAGAGCTTAGTCCTCACATAGACTGGAAACAGGGTTATTCTGTTTTATAAATTCAGGATTTTTAGTTCATAATATATGAAACTGGTACAACATACTACCAGAAGATAAATTTCAACCTATATTTATGTTGTCTTTTAAACGATGAATGAGAAATATTTTCACTACAGCCTTTAAAATAAAGTGAGTTCTTCAGAATACAAGTGTCAGTAGTAAATGTATCATATAGCCCAAAATGTTTCGAGGAGCCAACATAGCATTATGTTAGGGAGCTACATCTTAATTATACCAAATTCAAAATACGAAAAGGAACAGGAAAACAAGTGGGATGATAGCAATTTTACCTTGATTGATAGAACAACCATATATGATGCAAAAATCCCACTACTAGGTATATACCCAGAAAAAAAAAATCAGTTTATTGAAGAGATATCTGCTGTCCCATCTGCAGTATTTATAATACATATATTTATTGATCATTTACTATATACCGGACACTTATGCGGAGATTTTAAAGCTATACAGAACAGACTATGCTTCTGTTTACCTGAATTTACATTCTATAGAGGATTACAGAAGAACATAAAACAATAAGTAACAGATAACATAAACTTGAATACTGAAGAGCTATGAATGAAAAAAATGATCTCCTCCTTTCTTTTAGGGTCATCAGAGAATTTCTCTCTGAGCAGATAAGACTCGAATTATGTGAAAAATGATAAGAAAGGAACACGCATTTTAATATTTGGAGCAACAGAGATTTTGGAAAATAAATCACCAAGTACAATATATTGTAATTTAAAAATGTTTGAAAACTAAAAAGGAAAAGTGGCTGAAGTCTGGCCCCCATAGCAGACAAACATAGAGAGGCAAAGGTAAGCCAGATAATGCTTTATAGGTTATAGCAAGTAATTTAGATTATATTTCAAGTATAACAGAAAGTTTCAAACTCACAAGTGATATGATCAAAGTAGTATATTTAGATAACCTTTTAGGCTTTTTAAAAAGTGGAATGAATTATGGTGTCAAAGTACAAGACAAACAGCTACTGTTGTAGAGTTTGGGTAAGAGATGATGGTATCTTGGACAATAGTGACAGCAGTGGAGATGGCTGGAGGAATATTGTTGCTGTGGGGACTAAGAAAAGGAAAATAATTTTGTGATTTTTTTTTTTAATCAACCAACTTGACTAACTTGACTATGCCTTTTATTGAGAGGAAAAGGCTGGAGGAAGCAGGTTTTAGTTGTAGAGTTAACTTTAGTATTTACATTTGAGATTGCCTATTTACATATGCTGGGTAGGCTGCTAATGGGCATATGGAACTCAAGGAGCGTTTAGGAAGTAAAATATGGACTTAGAATTTAGCATTACTCTTTTATTGATGGCTACATTTTACAGATTAAAAACTAAACCTTTGGTTGCATTTAACTGGTGTACTTTATCTTCAAGGAAGATTTATTGAAAATTAAATGTAAACTTGTTTTTAGACACAACTAATATAGAAAAGGTATGAAACGTAATTGATATCTGTAATATCTGTAATTTTTCCCCAAACCAGAAGTTAGTAAAATATTATTTTCTGAAAATCAAGTAAAAACAGCTAAAATCGTGTGGAAAAGGATGAAAATAGATTGTGACATAAAGGTACAATGTAAAGCTTAACTTGAAACGCTTAAGTTCTGCTTTAATAGGCATATTTCAGAATGAGAATGAAGTAACTAACCTTATCCATTACCACTGACTGAAGACTTAGACTTTTATTTTCTAAGAGGAAAGATTTCTGACAAAGAAAGCTTATCTTTAGTAATCAACACAAGAATGAGAATCAGATTACTTTTATTTGGTAGTTAGTTAAATGTTGGTCTCTGTTTTGGAAGGTTTTTATTTTACCTTTGCTTGTGTACAACTCTGTGGTTTGACAAGCTCTTCAGAAAACATACACAACATTTGGTATTGAGCCCAAACTTTGTGTAGGCAGCACAATTTTTGTTAAAAAATAATGTTTTCTTTATAAAACCATTTATGTGCACATTCAGCTCACTATCATTAACTGTCTCTAATCCTTAACAACCTAAGTCTAATTGAACTTAATTTTCTAAGTAAATTGTGATTACTTTTTTTTTCTTAATTTTAGTACTGCTGTAATTCAGATAATAGTTTTGGATATGATATAAGAACAATTTTTCCCCTTCGTAAAGCTCTGAGTAGCTTTAGTTATTTCTGTATAGATTTGATACCATATTGTAAATACCCTGCTTATTTTTTAAAAGAAAGTTAAAAGCTGGATGAAAGCACTGGTTAGTTTCTCATAATACAGCCCCATGTTACTACAGAGTTCAAAGCCCTTGGAATCATTTGGGGGTCCACAAAAATGAACCTATGGGCAGAGAGTCTTGATTCTGGATTATGTTCTCCTCTAACTAGTTCTGTTAGGCAAGTCTTTTGATTTTAATAAACCTCAATTTTCATATTTACAATGAGACTGTTGGACTAGAATCAAATTGTCAGAAAACATTTTTTGTAAGGGGCCAGATAATAAGTATTTTGGGTGTTATGGGCTAAGATGCAAAATCAAGGATATTATGTTGTTATTATGTACGTAAGTATATTATGCAGATATTATGTGTAAAATAAGAGAGAAAACAAATTCCCAAACATTTTTATTGGCAAAATTTAAACTTTATTTACGGGCACAAAAATTTGAATTTTATATAAATTTTATGTGTCACAAAATATTATTTTTAAATTTTTTTCAAGCACTTAAAAATATAAAAGCCATTCTTTGCTCACAGGGAGCATAAAATCAGGTCTGGTATCAGAATTGATCTGGTATCAGAATTGTTCTGGTAATTTGCCAATCCCTAGGTTGAACTAACCATAAGGTACCTAATACAACTCAAATTGGATTTTTATTATATGTTCATTAAAATGTCTTCAAAATATTTTACTTTATACAAATTGTATAGAATTTTCAAAATTATATAGAACATTTGTACATATATTTTCCTACTCAATCTATATATTTAAAAAATTATTCCAGTTAATTCATCCAAATATTGTTGTAAATGTAGTATAAAAGTAGGCCTGGAATAAAACCATGGTTGAAGAGGATTATAGTAAATTAATCATATTTGATCAATTGAATGTTCCTAGGAGTCATATATCAGTTAAATTTCTCTATTTTGCCTCTTAGTGTACATGCTTGAGCCCACTCTCCAGACTCCTCAGATATTATTATTTGGAAGCTGCTGATTACCAGCTTCAAGTTTTTCTATCTATTGGGGGACTGCTTGTCCCTGTGGCCAGCTGCAATCAATTATTTTAGAGAGACAGCTAGCAACTGCCTGACCATCACATGATGGTCACCTGACATTACTGGTGTAGGGTTGGGAGGGGGAGGTCTCTCTCCTGCCCTGCTCCTCTCTGACTAGCTACCTGCTTAGTAACCTGTAACTGTACCATTTCTAATAATAGCTCTTGGAACTATCAACTGTGTGAACTTAACCAAGTTACTAACCTTATAGCATGTTGATTTTCTTACCTATAATACATGAATGACAACAATAGTACCTACCTCAAGCAATATAGTGAATATATCAATGTGAATATGAATGTGAAAGTGTCATGAAAGAGAATATAGTAATCGTTAAAACAACCGTTGAGACATTATGAAGTTTCAGAAAGAATTAGCTATTTATTAATAGGAGAGAAAAATTTTATAATTTTTAAAAATCCTCAAAATAATCCTATCTGGTAGGCAATTTTTAAAATCACTATTTTATAAATAAAGAATCAGGATGAGAAAGCAACTTGCTCAAGAGTACACCGCGAAGTGTCAGAGCCAAAATTCAAATCCAGGACTGAGGGACTTAAATGCATTTTAACTTGATGAAAGATTGTCAGTGTCTATCCACCTAAATCTTCTGTGACACTTTTCTGACACCCACATGCTTGTTGTTTTTCCTGGGATGATAGGTATACAATGCTATCTTGTAGTCATATTTCACCATTCCATATCTACCATGAAGTAAATACATGATTTTTAGAATTTAATACAATTAAATTCACATCCTTCCTCACTTGTTCTACTCATTGGGCCGTAACTGATACTCTAAAATGTCATTTCTCTTCCTTCTGTGCCTCTACCAACTAAGCTTCATCTAAATCTCTTCATGGTAGCTGATTTTAGCCAGTCTATAGAAAGAAACAAAAACACCTCAAACTACATAGCCCTAGGATGTGATGAAATGGTTTAATAATTTTTTTTGCAAGAGATGTGATGTTTTAAAAAATTTAATAGCAGTGTGGTAGTTTAAACAAGTGCATGTTTAATCCTAGCGTTTCAATGGGCATGTTTGGCAGAAATAGTGCTTCTTATTGCATATAAATAAAATATGCTAAGGAGCCAAATCACCTTTTTTTAAATCAATCAGATATTTTAAAATTTATCTTTCTCAATCTTTATCTTTAAAAAAGTTTTATTTATCTGACAAATAGTATTGTATATATATTTATGGGATACAACGGGATGTTTTGATATATGTATACGTTGTTGAAAGATTAAAGCAAGCGAATTAACATATTCATCCCCTCACGTAGTTATCTTTTTTTGTATGTGGTGAGAACGTGTAAAGTCTACTTTTCTCCATCACCTCGGCAAATGAGACTAGAGGATTTTGCTTTTTTATCACTTTCCAGTTGTCCTATAGTATTGGAAGGGAAATTCTGACTCCTGATTGTACAACAAAAATTCTTCCCCCACCAGGCCGGGCGCGGTGGCTCACGCCTGTAATCCCAGCACTTTGGGAGGCTGAGGCGGCGGGCGGATCACGAGGTCAGGTGATTGAGACCATCCTGGCTAACACAGTGAAACCCTGTCTCCACTAAAAATACAAAAAATTAGCCGGGCGTGGTGGCCGGCCTCTGTCGTCGCAGCTACTCAGGAGGCTGAGGCAGGAGAATGGCGTGAACCCGGGAGGCGGAGCTTGCAGTGAGCCCAGATCGCGCCACTGCCCTCCAGCCTGGGCGACAGAGCGAGACTCCGTCTCAAAAAAAAAAAAAAATTATTCCCTCACCAAATCAATTATAGAATTGGAACAACTATTGTATTTGATTTTGAAAACTCTGTATTAGCTGTCTTCAAGGGTCTTTGGTTTATTTTGCTTGGCATAGCATCTATCAATGGATGTACCTATAATATTATTTCTGAAATAATACTAATAGTCCATGCTATCAGCAATTCATTTTGCCTTCCAGTACTAAACATGAAGTGAGCTAAGATGTCAGAATATACTTGCTTAAGATGAAAAACATGCTTCCCTCTTATGACTTCTAATATAATCTATGTTGACTCTGCTATTTATAGAACTGTGGTCCGTGATTCCAAAGGTCGAAGTAATATCAAAACTCGTGGCCTCCAAAAAAGGATTTCTTGATTTTAAAATTTAGAGAAATACTGCATTAAATAACTTAAGTAATAGTTCTTATAAGATTTCAGATTATAGGAGTATGTATTCACAAAATCCAATACAATATTCTGTTTCTATGAGAAACATATGATATATTTCCCACACTTATTGGCCTCACAACCCATTACTCTCCTGTCATTCATATCACCTTTGTTTGTTTTTCCAGAACACTTATTAGAATTGCAGCCCAGAAAAAGTAATTGTCTTACATAACCAAGGGGGGGAAAAAAAACAAGAAAACAGACTCAAACCTTAGGAAACTGAATTCATAGTGATCTAAAATAATAGGCTCACCGGCAATTTCTTCTGAAAGAAAACTAATAATCCAGGGAACAATAACAACAAAACAAAAAGAGAAGCCATTGCATTTATTTTCTGAGGCTCTCAGGCATCCCTAAGTCCAGTTGTGTGCCATTTACCATAAAGAGCTTGGCCTTTCTTCAATTGTGCCATCTGTTGAAGCACAGAATCACATCACTACTTTATGACCTAGTGATTCAAAATAGCTTTTGTTTTAAGAAAGAGAGGACATGTCATGGACAAACCTTCGCTATTAATCCAGCCCTGGAAGATTGATCATTTAGCAGCTTTACAGAAATAAGATTAATTGGTCACAATAGTGTATATTTTAAAATTGCACAATTCGAAGTTCCCCTTGTCTTTAATGAGTTTGTCTTTTCCATACATAGATTTCGTAAGACTAACAAATAAAATACTATAAATAGGAAACTGATAGCCTACAACTGATTAATATGCAAGTTCTAAATCTGTAACTGGGTGACTTTCTCACTCAGCTTTATAAGCAAGTTTATTTCCTCTCATTTAGTGTGTTAAAAAGCTAATTGATTTTCCACCTGAACTTATCACTTAGGACTATACTTAATGAAACAAAAGGTCAGTTTATTCTTATTTGCCACTGTTTTGTTAGATCAGTAAGCAAATGCTATGTGTTAAATAATTTACTTCCTACCTACTTTTAAAATAATTTATACCTATATTCAGAATAATAAACAGGTATTTTTGAGCACTAGAATATCCAAACACTTTAGAGTCAATTCACATTTTAAGTTTTCCCTGAATAGGTTTCATGTCTTATGTATTTTTCATTCTCCCTGATATATGGAGAATAATAGATAATTAATGTTAGTTGATTAAATTAACATTATGAGGATATTTATCTTTAAGCTTTGAAATATGGTAGCAGAGTGACAAGGCAAAATTTTACTTTCAGAGAATATTCAGACCACACTCTTCCCAAATCCAATACTGTGCACCACATAAAGTGTAATATTTTAAGTAAATATTTCCATTCCTAGGTCTATTATAAAGATAAAGACAGTAAGATTTCAAAGGGGGTGTATAACTTCATCTTTTGATAAACTAATCATACATATTTGATAGGTAGAGACAAATAGATTTATATAAAGTTAGATTTACATTAAATGATACAATAAAAGCAAATGAGTCACAGTGCTATAATTCACCAAAGATGTGGCTACAAAAAGATTTTTATAAAATTCTACTGAAGAGTTTCTGGAAAACTTTTCTTCATCCCGCCCCACACATAGCCTATCGTCTAAGAATAAGGGCAGTATTACACCACAACCTCTGGGATACTGACTCATGAAGGATAAATAGGACAAAGCACCAATAAATAGAGGTCTATGTTGAAAAATAGGGAAATTTCATCTGTTTCTTTTAATTTGCAAGTCTAATAGAATTATGAGAAGAAAAATTGTGTGTTTGCATAGTTTGTTGAACAAATGAAGCAAGACCTTATTATAGATTTAGTAAAACTACTTGTTAAGATTTAGGACTGGTACAAATGTTTTACACATTTAAAATTTGCCAAATGTTGCCTTATACAGGGCTGAAATAAGGGTCAAATATGTTTGCAAATAAAGCTTGAGTTTCTTACATAATTTTGAAACTTAAGCTTTCTTAACAATAGTTACTGGGAATTACTAGTTTCTATTAAATGGAATCAGATTTTGTTCCAAATTACAATAGATCAAGGAGTATTTGTTATTCAACATTGATTGGCTTTTCTTGATAATATTCTATAGTTCTTGTAATCCCTTTTGTATTAAAAATAATCATAGTCTTATTCATAGGCAATTATTAATTATCATCTTTAAGGTATTACACAGTTGTTTTTAAAAAATCAGTTTTAGAAAAGGATATATAATTTATTTTTGTAAATCAATTGGCTTGTATCTTTGAGTTGCATTTTCTAAATTTGGGATTTAAAAACCAATGATTGTATCTGTAAATGTTAGAATGGTGACAACTGTGTTCTAAAGTTTGATAACATTGTACCAAAATCTGAAACTCCTATGAATTCTTCATGAAATCCTGTTTTACTTTATTTTATTTTATTGCATTAAAACATTTTGATAGATTCACATTAGCATTAACATTAAGGTTGGGTTTATTTTTCATGATAACTGGGTGGAGGGTTTTTCTTTTTTGACAGAAAAATGAAGTTTTATGATACATTCACAGTTTTTTAAAAAAAAATTAAAGCAGATATACAATAAGAGTGTTTAATACATTTTGCTAAGATGATCAATCTGTGTTTAGAGACACCAAAAATATATAGATTCTCTACTAGAGTGCTCCTACATAATTCATGAATGCTTTGGGGAAAACAAAAAAATAACTCAACTTTGAGGGAGGAATCCACCATTAGTTGCTCACTGGGGCTCTGGAAAAGAGGTGGAGAATTCTCCAATGTGTGCTGTATGGATTAAAGGAATTTATGAAAATAAATAAGGGATCTCCATTGCCTTTGTGTTGGAAATAGAGCTTGAATCTTTCCAGTCCTCTGTTACAATATGACTGACAGCACTTGGAGACAAAATTAAACGTAATTCTGACTCTAGCTGAGCAGCTTGAATGCTACTGCAGAGATCATTTTTTTCTTTCCAAAAGTATCCTCTGAGAGCAGGGCAAAAATCACAGGACGGTATCATTCTTTCGGCCCATTGGACTAAGGAGGCTTGATACGATCATTATGCTGGTTATGGAGACAAAAAATGAATCTCTGTTATTTCAATACAAGAAGACATTTTATAAATTGAACTATTTGATTCTATAAGGCTATAGAAGATTATGAATCACATTATTTCAGCAGCCTAACATTATGGTATGAATATTTAATCATTAGGTTTTTTTTTTTAATATTAATGAAGGGGCAACTCTTTTGCAAAGACTATTGGTTCCATTGGTTTAGTTTAACCAGTAAGATATATGTTGGAGCTGTGTTTCACTTATATTAAGCACAATTTAGTTTTGTATTATATTTTTGTGTTATAAATTTTCATGCTTAATGTTATGATTCTCATTCTTATCTGTTGTTCATAATAAACCTGAGACCTAGAAGATTGTTTTAGAATATATATTCTTATTAATTTTGTAATTAAATACAATTCCTCCTTTAAGCCAACCCTAAAACTGTGCTCTTTAAACTTGTGTAAACAGGTGAAAAAGACCCAATAGGTCAATATTCTAGCTTATATTGAAAACTAGCTGAGAGAATGAAGAATTTATTGCTTAAAGGGAGACAATGGCAAATTTAAGACACTTATGGTACTCTAAAACTGCAACCAGGGTTAAAATATATTATTACCCTGAGACATTAGTCAGGGAACCTGCACAGTTAATGGAAACCCTCAGTTTGACTAATTGTTGGCATTAAGACAGAAATTTCAAGGTCTATTAAGGAGGAAAACGAAAACTCATATGCATATGTGGTTTAGAGTGTATAGTGGAGTTTGGCAAGGGCATGGACAAAATGTTATGAATAAAAATAATCCCAGAGGTCTTATGAAAGTCAAGTGCTATAAGAGGGACAGAAAATAGCCAAGGATGTCCCAAAGAGAGCTTTTCCTCAGGTTAAAGAATGATTATTCCTCAGAATGACATATGTCTCTTTTATATGTGTCTTTTAACTCAAGCTGATAACTTAGAAACAAATTATTAATGTTTAGTAGATTTCTATAAATTAGCTATATATCAAGAATAGAAAAGCTGAGCATCTTCTCTTTGAGCAGGAAATAGCATTAATACATATCAATTTATTTTTACATTTTATTTCATTAAAGGCATTTCCATAGCCAACAATTATATGGACTTACGTATATTAAATTGTTTTAAAAAATTATAAACTCCTAGACCTTTGGGTTGTAAACGTAAACACATTTTTCATGTGGTACCTACTGAATTAGACCAATGAGATGAATATCTAGAGTGTTAGGGAATATAAAATCTGGATGTCAAAATAGTCATTTACTATTTTCTCAGTCAATTTAAATCTCTGTCAACTCAGAATATGTTCCATTACTAAGCTGGAAAACATAAGAGTTTTACATTTTAGATCTTAACACGAAATAAATCATAGAAATTATTTTGTAAATAACATATAGGGTTGGTCAATAGAACTACTTAGTGGTCAATATGTACAATCTTTTATTGACATTCATCGATATTCACAGATATATCTATATCTATACATCTATATTATCTATCTATCTATCTATCTATCTATCTATCTATCTATCTATCATCTATCTATCTCACTCATTCAGCATCTCTGGGCTGTAACACATCATCCTGGCTCAAGGTGTCTAGGCAGTAGGGGAATTGATCAGTCAATGGGACAACAGTGTTGTCATTCATAGACGTCTATATCTATGAATATCTGTGAATGTCAATAAAAGACTGTACATATTGGCCATTAAATAATCATAAGCACACAATTATAAGCACACAAATACTACATTTGAATGAATAAGAGCATTTGTACTGCTGTGCTAGATAAGCTTTATGAATAGTTAGAAACACAGATGATAAACATGTTTGCTTACAATCCTAGCTAACTCCTGTACTGATAGTTTGCCAGACTGAGCCAAGGTATAGAGAAGATGCCTTACAGCTGTGTATGCTGTAGCTATGTTTTATTAAATTGACCTTGTGACCTGAAATGATTTCTGCTTCTCCAAGTGTTGAGAGATACTTCCGTTAACACACATTTATTGAGCAAAAGGCAATATGCCAGGTGTTGAGTATATGGTAAATAAGACAACCCAGACCCTCTCAGGTCTCTTGGGGAGCTCACATTCTAAGACATTTCCTGTCAAAATATCATTGGTGGATCACCTGTATTGAAATAATCAGTGGGTAGCCAGGCGTGATTACACCTGCCTGTAGTCCCAGCTATTCTGGAGGCTGAGGCAAGTGGATCATTTGAGCCCAGGAGTTCGTGCCTGCATTGAGCTATGATTGCACCACTGCACTTCATCCTGGGCAAAAGAGCAAGATGAAAGAAAGTAAGAAAGAAAGTAAGAAAGAAAGAAAGAAAGAAAGTAAGAAAGAAAGAAAGAAAGAAAGAAAGAAAGAAAGAGAGAGAGAGAGAGAGAGAGAGAGAAAGAAAGAAAGAAAGAAAGAAAGAAAGAAAGAAAGAGAAAGAGAGAGAAAGAGAGAAAGAGGAAAGAAAAAAGAAAGAAAGAGAGAAAGAAAAGAAAGAAAGAAAAGAAAAAAGAAAAAGAGAAAGGAAGAAAAAAGAAAGAAGAAGAAAGAGAGAGAAAGAAAGAGGAAAGAAAGGAAGGAAGGAGAAGAAAGAGAAAGAAAGAAGGAAGGAAAGAAAGAAAGAAAAAGAAAGAAGAAAGGAAGGAAAGAAGAAAGAAAAAGAAAGAAAGAAAGAAAAAGAATCATCAGGGGTGATTAAAGTTCAGATTCTTGGGCAATGTCTTAAACTTACTGATTCACAATTTTCAAATTTCTGGCAGTGGCCCTTTAAAAATAGCACCCTACATATTTCTTAGGCATTCTAAAGTTTACTCAGAATATTGCTGAGTAGTTATTTTTTAAAATAATGTGTTAATAGATATGCTCAGAGAATTACAAGCATTGAGAAAGGACTTGTAACACAACCTGAAGGGGTGAGAAGGCCTCCTTTAAGAAGAAACCTCTAAGGGTGACCTTCACAGAAGGCTACCTAATGGCACATGTGCTGTTTGGAATGACAAACATTATAGGGGTCTTCTAGGTACCAGCTAATGCATAAAACAAGGAAGAGAGATTAGAAAGAGACTGGTACATGTAGAGAAATGCAAGGAATTTCTTTAGGTAGATAATAAAAAATCTTAAAAAGGAGTATAAAGAAGGTGATTAGGTATAAAGTTATCAAGATCCTTGAATGTTACATTAAGGAAATTGGATAGTATCTGGTGTTTCATATCCAAATGCAAATAACATTAATTATTAAAAACAAGTCCAGAGAGGGAGACAATGCAGTATTTTTAACACTGATGCTACTCTGTTCCAGCCAGTCGTTGCCATGGGGAAGTGTGGCATAGAATTGCCAGATTGTCCAGTCTTTCAAAAATACCCCAAAATCTGGTGTATTCATTAGAATTAGGTTCAGCTGCAAATAATAGTATATTCTGAAATAATAGTGTTTAAGCAAGAATGAAATTGTTTATTGCTCACAAATTAGTCTGGAAGAATGCAGTCCTGGGCTGGAATGTCAGCTCTGTTCCACCAAAACTACAGGAAGCCAGATTCTGTCTAGCTCACTCTTTCAGCATCCCTGAGCTGTAACACATCATCCTGGCTGAAGGTGTCTAGGCAGTAGAGGAACTGGTCAATACAATGGGGAATACAGTGTTGTCATTCAGATAAGGTTACTGGACACTGCCATAGGATTATATGCCAAGATGCAAGGAAGGCTATAAGATGGATTTTGCATTCCAGGTGGCCATTGCTCATCAAAAATTTTATTATTATGGATACAATGCAGAGTAGATATTGGGGGACCAGAAGCATTCTGTATTATCATATATCAGTTCCTTCTGCATATCATTTATATATGCAGGATTAAGTATTTATCTATTTATACATCTATATCATCCATCATTACTGTGCATGATTAATATTATTATTATTTGAAAACAAAAATATCTAAGTTGTGCATAGCCTCTAAGCCACCAATTTGTTTATGGGACTCTTTGATATTGGAAGTTATTCGATACTGTTTAGGAAGAGAGTAAGCCATTAAATTTATAGAGAAGGGATGTCTTTGTAAACTATTTAGGTTGTCAAAGTGCCTGAATTTGATAAGTAAATTCTAGAGTAAGGGAGAGAGAGAATTAAAAACTTACTCCCAGATTTCAAGTTTGATTTATTTGATGAATTGAGATGCCAACAATTTGGACAAAAAATACCAAATGGATCACTGGTTTGTGGGTGAAGATGAGTCCATTTTTATGCATGCTAAGTGATAAATCTTCTTGGAATACTATCGACATTTTGATATCAAGACTGAAGGCAGGGGAGAGGCTTGAATTAAAAATATAGATTTAGGAATTACAGAATATTTTGAATAAAATTATTGTTATAGAAGAAATCATCCAGATGACACAGAAGCAATTGTAGATTGAAAAAAGCAGTGACAATAAGACAGAACACTGGCAAAGATGGTTATTCAGGAGTTAATAAAAAAGGTATAATACTCATCATTAAAATAAATAGATGAGAGTAGAAGAAAGTTTGAGTATTAGTGCAGCATATGTGCTGTAAGATAAAGGTCCACTGTGTTTGTTAATTAACAGTATACCAACTCAGTGAAAGGAGTTTTCTAGTGAAAGAAGCCAGATGCCTGTATGTCGATGAGTGAATGGAAGGTGTGGAAATGGATATATGTGATTACTTTAAATATAATTTTGTGAAAATTGGATAAGAAGATATTAAACATAGCTGGAGAGTAAAGCAATTTCAAAGAAAAATTATTCATTGTTTTGGATAAATAAGAGCATATCATTGAATTAGAAAAAGAGACACTGGAGGAAGACTTTGAAGATACTTAAGTTGGATGTAATGACTAACTGACCAAGGGCTGAGGAAGAGGGAATTAAAGCTATAGGGGAATGGATTGCTTTTTAAAGGAAGAGATGTTATGGGTGTTGTGAATGTGTGTAAGTTTTAGTTTTGGGGACAGGAATTTAGGAAAGATTATTCTTCACTAATACAATCTTCATAACTAACTCGTTTTCTGTGAATAGAAGTGGAAAATGCAAATGGAAAGAATTCACAGAGAGATCTGAGGCTCCAGCTTAAAGAGGAGACAATAATTTTGCAATGATGCCAAACAGCAGAGGGATGTGTATGTGTCTAAGTATGTGTGTGTTTTAAGCTGTGCTTCAGTAATTGAATGAAAAGACACATGATAATGACCCAGATATGAGTTTGCTAAATCTGCATGGTAGAAGCATATAGTAATATGAGTGCTTTAAATGATCTTATGAGATAATTATTCAGTGAATAAATAGCTGAGTCCAAACTAGAGAAGAAAGGGAGAAAGGATATTTCAAATAGACAGGAAAAAGTTAAAACAATTGGGACAAGAGTGGTCTCTAAGAATTTGAAGAATAGATTTGCCAGAAATGAGCTTTTGAAAAACCTGATAGAAAAGGAGGTTGTAGTTAAAGTGAGGGATACTGTGATTTAGATTACTGACCTGGAGTATTCCCTGGTAATAAATGTGGCTGGTTGAACTGAAATAAAGGTGAAAGACTTAGGTGCCATATTCTCAAGGCACTTCAAATGTACTTTGTTAGTTGTTTTCTGGAGATGTTCCATCACTTTATAGAAAACTATGCACATTACACAGATAGGCCTGGGAGTTTGAATGTATTTTCTGTTTCTTTCAATTATTTGATTGCTAATTACTGAAGGGTCACCTAATATTTCTCAATTTTAATTACCAGATGGTATAATTAAAATGACAAAGTTTATCTTTTAAAGATGTATTTAATGATTAATGAAAAAAATTATATTTTCTTATGAGAAAGCTGTGGCAATTCAGAAACAATAAGTAGCAAGAGAAAGAAATAAACCTATTGCTATTTTTTCTGCTCAATTACAGATTATCGAATAAAAATAAATTGCCTTATACCTCCAATTTGCTTCCATAGCTTGGTATGCAGAACAGTGGAAAATCACTAAGACACACAGATGTAGTTGTAGATGTTGACACTGGTTTTACTTAGAGGTCGTAATGATCTTCTGAAGTTTCTCATTAACTAAAATCTGAAGAAAATGTGAGAGAAATTACGTACATTTCCTCAACAGCAATTGAGAAATCCCGGAGCAAAGAAAAAATGTGATTTCTTAAATTGTTTTCAAAGAAGTTGTTTCTATGCTAAAGATAATAAGTACATTGATAGCATTTCTCAAAATAGTTCTCTGAAGAGTTAGTATATTGTTTACACATTTAAAGAACACCTGTATCCATATCAAGAGGAAGAGAGCCTAATTTATTATAATTCTGAACAAGAAATGAATATCATAGAAGCAGAATCCAGGAATCTTCCCAAAGCATATGAATGGAAGTAAATTTCTTACCCTAAAGGAGTATTTTAAATAAACAGTGTGTATCAGCCAATGGTAGGGATTTATTTCTATCCTGAGTTGGTTTTGATAAAGATGTGAAAAACTAAACCACCAGTGATGTCAGAAATTTTAGGCCATGGAGTGTGTCTAAAAAAGCAAAAACAATGAATACACCAAGTAGACCATCGCCTGAAGATTTGGCTGCCAATCACATATTTAAAAATATGGTCATAATTTTATTTATTTTTATTTACTTATTTATTTTTGAGACAGAGTCTCATTCTGTCTCCCAGGCTGGAGTGCAATGGTGTAATCTCAGCTCACTGTAACCTGAGCCTCCCAGGTTCAAGCGATTCTCCTGCCTTAGCCTCACAAGTAGCTGGGATTATAGGCAACTGCCACCACACCTGGCTAATTTTTGTATTTTTAGTAGAGATGGATTTTCACCATGTTGGCCAGGCTGGTCCTGAACTCCTGACCTCAGGTGATCCACCCGCCTCGGCCTCCCAAAGTGCTGGGATTACAGGCGTGAGCCACCATGCCCAGCCAAAAAATATGGTCATAATTTTAAATCCAAATGTTTTATAAAGAATAAATATCTAAACAAGAAAAAACTATGTATACTTATATCCTCTTATAGACTTTTAGATTATTTTTCAAAGACAATATTTTGCCCCTGAAAAATATAACAAGATCAACTAGTTTTCATTTTTCCCTTTACTAACAATTATACTTCTAAATTAACTTGGGTTTTTCTTTGAGTTGTTCAGCATTTTGTGGTATTTGTATTTCCTTGTAGACCACAAATTATACCACATGGAAATTTGTCTAATAATCATTCTATTGTTTTGTAAGATTCAATTATAATTACAGATTTGTAAGATACCTTAGAGATTGGTCGAAATCAATGTCCTCATTTTTAGATTTTAAACTGAGAAATTGTTTGTAAACTGCTCAAAACATTTGATTCTTTCGTACCTTCTAGTTTGAAATTCTCTTATTGCCAGAGCCTGGCTCTCCGAAATGTGGATGAAAAAAGAATAAGGGGGGTAGAGGAATAAACAAACGATAATGTTCAATGTCTATCTGTTTCCAAATTGTTATTTACAGTTTGGTTAATTCATCAGTTTACCTAAAAATACTTTATATGCAATTCACATGTGGCTAACAAGGTTGTGAGGTGACATTTTTCTTCTTAGTAGAATAAAGAGAAGACTTCAGTCACATTTAATTGGTATTAAAAATGGAAGTTACAGTAGGCACAATTCTCAGTTTTCTTCTCAGATGGAAGGAAAAGGGTGGGTGACAGAAATCATGGTTTCAATTATTGGGAGAAGAGTGTTGCATTGGCAGATGGCCATGGTTTATATGGCCTTTTGCTCCTGTAGCTTACAGTCCTTATTTTCACCCTCTGTTCCACATTCTGCAGGACCCTGAATTCAATATTGGTGGTTTATAAGCAGAGAATCTGTGATTTCATTGTGTGACAGGTGGAAGAAGTCAGGAGTAGAGAAAGCCCCAGTCTTACTCAAGTGGCAGAAACCTTCATTTGAAATGTTACGACCTTATTTAATTTTCCCAGCAATAATTGATTGATATATTTCAAGTGTGCCAATTATTTTAAGGTATCATACTACTTTTGACAGCAAGCAAGACATATTAATGATGAGATATAAAGATACATAGAACTTATATAGAACTATACATGTTGATCAGTGACTAATGAATTACTTGTACAGACCTGTAGATAAGTTATATAAAGGGCTTTTGTGAAACTGTGTGAAAGGACCTAAATCCTTATCATTTATAAACATTATTTATCTGGGAAAATGTGTCCTGTGTACTAAACAATATAGATTTATAAGTAGGTTCTTTTTTTAAACAATGCTCATATGCAAGTTAGAGGTTTAAAATTCATTTATTTATTCAACATAGATTATTCTAGAAACTGGACATATATGGTCCTATGGTTAAGGAGCTTACAGATCAGTAATCGTCTTATTCATATTTTCTCCACTGTTTATTACATATAATCGTATATATGCAAACATCATTGAACATAATTGTATAATTTCTAAATATATTTTCCCAAGCCAATCAGTTAATTTTCTTATATGTAACTTGGTTAAAGTTGGAGAGGGTAGTGGGGATGGTGGTGTGACTTTCTTTTTAAAGTAGTATTAGTTGGCATGTTTTTGGAGTTTCATTAAATCATCAAATATTTACTGAAAGCCTAAGGTATGACTGGCACAAGACATATCTGTGTGTAAGTTTGTATGGAATTATTTGCTTGAAAACGTGAAATTATCAGATAGTTCCTGTTTTCAAGCTAACAGAATAGGGGAAAAATAAGTGATATTTCCATAGGAAGTAAAAGAACAGGTTTCCAGAACTGAAGTCATTCCATACCTGGACAAGCACATACAAGCAGCTGTCAGCCACCGCTTTCTTCTAGGATTAGTCTAGTCCAACATGTTATGTTTTTCGCTACTTGATGGGAGTAACTCTTTCCAAACTCCCTTTGTGTTTTCTAGTAAACATAAATTGATAAATAATAAAAATATTTATATTTTAGTGGTAATTATATGCAAGAAATAATGGTAAATTTGTAAATATCTCAAGGTAATGCTTGAGTCACAAATTTTTACTTCAAAGATAGCCAGGTATTGTTCTCTATATTCTTTCTTTAGAATACCAAACTTCAATATTTGTTCTAAAATGATGATCTGTGTCATGGTTGGGAAGGTTTAGCTCTCCTTTTTTGAGGGCTTTTTTCCTAATAAAGTATGTTAGCAAGGTGTGCCCTTCTTTAAAACCAATATCTGCCTCTTATATTTCTCTTTCATAGAGCAATTGAATTACTTTCAAACAGTCAATGGTGATTGACTTTCTTCTTGGTGGTGCCCTTTTTTAAAAAAAATAGTATTTCATGTTAATTTCTGATGTTCTAAGGTTAATTTGCATTTGCCCTTCTCAAATTATTTTATCAAATTAATTATTGCCCCTATAGTAACAAAATAGAAGCAAATACATTTTCAATGGTGCTATGCATGATTTTACAGATAGTGACTTTTTAAACACTGCTCAATGACACACATTATGTGATGGCAAAATGTTAGTAAATGTGAATATAATAAAACTTATTTTTACTATTACAAGCTACGTTTTTATTTTCTCTAAATCTGTCAAGAGGAAAATTTGAAAACTTCAGTTTAATTTATTTGCTAATAATGTTAACTTAGCACATGTTTTACATACAAATCAACTAGTCATATAATTATATTGAACTTAAAAACCAAAATGACATATGCAGTAACAGTTTGTAATAGTCACAAAGACAGAATGGCTAAGTAAGGTTACCACAGAGAAGATATAATGGAGTTCATATGTTGTAAAATAACCTGACCTACTTTCACTTTACTTGGAATATGTTAGGTGGAGAAGTGATAGAAGAATTGTGGCATTCAAAAAATTTGCCACTAGTATTGGAAATTGTCAGAATTGTCCCTACCTGGAAAAAATTACTTTGCTGATTCTGTATTTTATGAAATTGTTACCCTTTATCTCAGACCTACATAAACAAATATTTAAAACATTCCAAATACATTGTTACTCATTTTACTGAACAGCCCAAATTATTCTACACAACAGTGAATTTTGAGATTGCTAATGAAAAACTGGAAACCAAAACTGATATTCTAAATATCAATTTATCTTATAATATACCTTCCTAAATAAGGACATATGTATCATAACATGTGGTTCTCTTCTCACAGGCATCTTCCAACCTTCATGATATAACAATTGTTTGCTACATTAAACTAGAAACCAAATAATTTTATTCAGCACTTTTTTATAAATAATAGCTATGATGGTGACTGAAGCCAATTTCAAAAACATAAGCTTCAGTCATACAGATTTCTTTAATAACAATACATTTTCCAACATAATTATTATGTATAGAATATTGTGATGCTATTTTCAAGCATTTCTTGTAAGAGTCACTTAGTTTCCAAGAAATAAGAAAAATACATACACACGTATGTATAGATATGTTCCAGAAATTTTGCAGTTGTAGGTAATTTTTATTTGATATCGACTACTATATAATTTTCTATATTTTTTTAAAAAAATTTCAATATTTAAGCCTTTCTTTCTGTGGTATAGTTACCAAAATGTTATGTAAATAAGAAAGACACTACTTTTTTTTATCAGTGTTTATTAGTGTTTATGAGGGTATATTTAAACATTAAAAAATGTAACTTGGATAAAGTCAAATTATTTTTGTGGGTGATGCTTTAAAGGAACTCATGTATATAAAATGAGCTTAGGTTTTATGGTTATGTGAACTTATTAGTACTTTATGATATTATAGTTCTAAATACTTAATTTTAATTATTCCATATTAGACATAAAACACACTGTACAGAGAAATAAGAATATTTTATATATTTCAAATACAAAGAAAAGTAAGAAATGAGTTTTCGTATTTCAGTAAGTATTAGAATTTGTTTTAGTGTCACTACTAAAGAGGAAAATACACGTATATTAAGTCAAATGTACATCTAAAAATTTAATAGTTCAGAAATCAGAGTTTTTGTAATTTACTATAGATTTGTAAAGATATCTAAATGAGTAACCAATTAGGTAAATCATATCTTGAATATGTATTAGATAAAACTTCCGGTTGGAGAGACAATTTTATCATCAAGATACCCATAAAACTTTTCTTATTGACATATTTTACCATTACTTCCACCTTACTATAATTGTTTTATTAATTATCTACTCCCTCCAAATTATCACAAAATTTCAGAAAATGTTAAAAATAACTTTTCTTTAAAAAACACTTTGTTATTTTAAAATGATTGATAAAGGATGTTCTGGTACTTATGGGAGGAGGGTTATGGATAGTGCAGGCAATCTTAATATGAGTCTTGAACTTTAAAGTATTTTGAGTCAGATAATATATGTTGAAGGTATTGATTTCAGGCCATAGAAATAACATTATTATAATATTACTGGTAAAAAATAATAGTGAGTAACTTAATGAGGATAAGTGCAAAAAGTAGGCTTGCCTAGTGGTTACCTAGATGTCGCTAGTCACAGTGCTCTTTGTAGCATAATTGGAGTTGAAGCAAATTGAGCAAAAGGCAATTAAGTATTAGAAGGTATTACAAATTTTGTTGGGTGGTAACATGCAATCACTATATTGTTTGTATAAGTAGAATACGTAACGAAGTCAAAATTTTTGAAAATACCTAATGGAATAAATAGAAAAAGGGCAAAGTAAGAAAGCTCTTATAGAAATGCAAGATAAAAGTGACTTACTTTTGAACTATATTTCTACTGGGACTTTAGCAAAAAAAAAAAGAATATGTCTAAGGAAGAATATTAAATTAATAAGCATTCTGAAAGTGGCCTTACTGTATTTTACCCATGTGATTCAATATGATTTGATCTACTATTTAGTATATCAAAGGATAAAACATGCATGTTTTTATTGTTTTAAATCGTGATTCTCAATTTCAATCCTACTTTAGAACCACTAGTTAATTAAATGAAAAGTTTTATTTTGAGGTCACCAACACATACCAAGATTTCTAATTTGTCCTGGACCTAAGGGTTTCCGGAGACCTGGGACTTTCAGTGCAGAAACTGGGATGAATTTCTCTCTAAAGTATATACTCATGCTTTAAAGAGTACTAATATTTGAATTGATTTTGGAAATAAATGAGTTCTGTGTTTGCTTAACATTGTGGAGAATCAAATCTCCAAGAAGTACAGTCCTCCCTTGGTATCTGTGGAAGGTTGATTTCAGGACCCCCAGGAATAACAAAACACACAGATTCTCAAGTCCCTTATATAAAAATGGTGTAGTATGTGCATTCAATTATCTCTAGATTACTTACAATATCTAATACAATGTAAATGCTAAGTAAATAGTTATTATACTGTATTGTTTAGGGAATAATGGAAAAAAAAGAAAAGTCTACACCTGTTTAGTACAGATGCAACCATCTTTTTTTTTTCTTGAATGCTTTTGCTCTGCCATTGGTTAAATTCATGGATGCAAAACCCATCTATATGGAGGGCTGACTGTACACAATTCTTTTGTATTTGAAATATTAATGGTTTTTCTTTAAAAAATCAAATTGCTTATATAATCTGTCTATACAGACTCATCTGACTCTCTCTTTCTCTTGCTTTTAGTTTCATATATAGCTAGGAACCTTTATCCTAAAATAACTGCTTTATTTATTGAGATAGGGTCTCACTCTGTTGCCTGGGCTGGAGTGCAGTTGTGCAATCAAGGTTCACTGCAGCCTTGACTCTCCAGGCCCAAGAGATACTCCCATCTGGGCCTCCCAAAGTGTTGGGAAAATAGGCATGAGCCACTGGAACCAGGCCTAAAATAACTACTTCAATTCTCTTGTCTATTTGAAGGAATTTAGTAATATGGTGGAAATGTTTTCCAAATAAAAATCCAAAACATATAGTTTAGTCCTCATTAGTATGGCAATATAGCATCAAAATTGACATTAGAAATGTCCTCAATAAATTTACATCTATTACTGCATAATTGCAAAGAACTGCATGTTTAGGATTTGAAGTTATCAAACAGAAATCAAAGTGTAAATCAGTTAATTTCATAAAGAATATGTGTGATACATTATCATAAGCCAATAAATGTTTAAGGCATATTTCTCCCAGCACTTAGAATAAATATGATGTGACAATTTACTTAAAATATTTCCTAAGGTTTTATTATTCATTCAGTTAATAGAATTGCATAATTCTTATTTTATGCTTCCCATAAGTTGACTAGTTTAATCTGTATAGTAATTTGACATACATCCTCTTCTTGGCAATTACTCTGTGTTCAGTCTCAATCACAGAGTTAAGGAAGAAATAGCAGTAAATACACAGGTTCCTAAGTTTACTGAAGCTATAAGTTTCTATGTCATACACTTGTGAGATAAAGGAGTGATTTGTTAGTAACAAGCTTTTACATTTATAGACTATATTTCCTTAGCCACTTCTTGGAACTGAGTAATTCTAACTTAATTTTCCTCTCTAAATCAGATTTACTCTAGTTATTTCCTTTGCAGCATTTCAAGAATAACTATATTATTTTCCAAGGGAATATCTAATGGAGTCTTTTAGCTTGAATCTTTCCTTCAGGGCCCCATTTGAGGAGATCATCTGAAAAAATAACATTAGCTTCTCTCTCAACATCTTCATGATAGCACTTCTTCCAAGACTTAGCATGGAGGATAGAACACAGAGGTAAGAGGGAGTCACACAAAATAGTAAGGTTTCATTCTTATGTAGTCATTCCTTTTTGCTTTATCATTAAGTGATTGATATATATTTAATGTATAGATGTGATATCAATATTTTTGTTTCTTTACCCTATTTAATTTTCACAAGTGACAGAGTGGATACTAATAAGTTCAATGTGTGCAATAAGGCTTATTAACTTGTAAAGCACCCAATCTAGTATTCTAGAAACCAGTGTTTAGAAAGATAAGTATTTTCCCTCAAATTTTACTTTTTACTACTAAAATGATAACTAAAATTATATAAACTCTATATAATGTTGTTTTCTGCATTAAAACTTTTATTTTAAAATATTTATTAAGTGTGATATATAGTTTTGTAATCTTAACTAATCAGTTACAATATAAACAAAATACTATAAATTCTCCTCCTATTAGAATTTATTTCTTGGAAAATTTTAAGTGCTTTTCTTTGTAATTCAAATTAGAGTTTATCAGAATGTGAGAGACTGTAACACTTTTTCGTATACCGGTATAACACACTCAATCCTACATCTTGGTTGCTTACTATTGAATTATCATCATATATCCTAAAAATCATATTTTAGATTTTTTAGTAAATTCATTGCCTACCTAGATATCTAGACTATGGTTTATTTTTTGATTAATAAATATTTCTTGAGCAATATTTAAAAATACTTCCTAAGATACATACATACAAGTTTTACTAGTTCTGTACCCTTTTAGTAAGGTGATTAATTTTTCTCAAGAGAACATTCGCATTATCCCGAAAAAAATATTATTTTGTAATGTATATCTTGACTGGGTTATTTCTCTTCTTTTCTATTCTTTTTTTTTTTTTTTTTGAGACGGAGTTTTGCTCTGTCTCCCAGGCTGGAGTGCAGTGGTGCGATCTCGGCTCACTACAACCTCTGCCACCCAGGTTCAAGTGATTATCCTGCCTCAGCCTCCCAAGTAGCTAGGATTACAGGTGTGTGCCACCATGCCCGGCTAATTTTTGTAGTTTTTGGTAGAGATAGGGTTTCACCAGGTTGGCCAAGTTAGTCTTGAACTCCTGAACTCGTGATCCACCTGCCTCGGCCTCCCAAAGTGCTGGGATTACAGGCATGAGTCACCGCGCCAGGCCTTGACCGGGTTATTTCTATTTAAAAACTTACATATAACATGCATGGGAGATCTGAAAATCAGGAGATAATTGTTTTTGCAATTCCTCCGTATTACTTTAAAAATAGTACAACCCCATCTCTTTCTCTCTTTACCCCATATCCTTAATTTTACTCGTTTTCTCTGTTCCCCTTGAAAATAAAACTCCTTGTGAGTTTTGCTGCCTACTGTCTTCAATTTCTCTTCATTTTATCTCTAAACTCCTTCATCAGTCTTTTTTGTCTTTACCACTCCTCTGAAACTGCTCTTTTGAAAGTTACCGATATCCAACACTCTGTAAAATTTACTTGCTATTTCTCAGACCTATCTTACTTGAATTTAGCATTTGAAACAGATAATCATTTTTGTCTTTTTCAAATATTGGTTTCACTTGTCTTCCAAAACTTCAATATCTCCTAGTTTCCTTCCTGCCCCACTGACTACTTCCTCTCTGTGTGAGCCCGGGAGCTTGCTTCTTGCTTCTAAAATTGCTTCTTGCCCTTCTTCTCTTTTCTGTCTATACTCACCATGTTGATATTTTCAACAGTGCTGATGAAACTAAATACTATCTATACAACGATGACAAAAATTTATCTATGCAGCCTGGACCTTTTTCCTGAACACCAGACTCATACATTTGTCTGTAGAGTTGACATTTACACTTAGATAGCTAGTAGACATCCCAATGTACCATGTACAAAACTGACTTCTTGGTACTTCTCGAATCTACTTTTCTTATAGCCTTCGGCATCATAAAAATTGACAATTTGAGTTACTCAGGCTGAAGTCATTTATATCACTTCCCATTCCTTTCTTTCTCTCACAATTTGGGTTGAATACCTTAGCAAATGATATAGTTTGGATGATTGTCCCCTCCAAATCTCATGTTGAAATGTGATCCCCAGTTGGAGGTGGGGCCTACTGGGAGGTGTTTGGGTCATGAATACGGGCCCCTCATGAATGGCTTGGCACCCTCCCCAAAGTTTCTATCCGTCCTCTCTATTCCACCATTCTTGTTTCCCTAGTCTCCATACATGTATCTAGCAGCCCGGGACATCTTTTGGGGTGCAATTTAGATGATGCCACAACTCTGCTTGAAGCTATTAATTGTTGCCCATCATACATTGAAAAAAGGTGAAGGCTCACAAGACGTTACATAATCTGTACCCTAACCCTCTCTGATTTCATTTTCCACTCCTGAATCTATGTCTCGCTCAGTTACTGTGATGCTGGCCTTCCTGCTGTTCCTCAGAAGTGTGAGGTATATATACCTTATTTTGCCACAGGACTTCTGCACTTCCTTTTATTCCTTCCTACAATTATCTATCATTAGATATCTACATGTCTGGCTCTTTCACATCTTCGAAGTCTTTGCAAAAATTATACTTTTTTAGGGATGTCTGCCATGACTTCTCCATCTAAAATTATAGTATTCAACTCCCACATACCCTGTCTCATTCCCTGCCCTAATTAATTTTATACCATAGCATTTATCACCATCTGAACATTTTAGATTTTATGTGTTTGTTTTTGATAGAATATTTCTACCAGATATAAACTTTTTGGAGGATTTTTTTTTCTGCTTTGTTCATTGATGTATCTAAAGTGTCTAGAATAGTGCTGGGCATGTAGTCAGCACTTACTAAATAATTATTAAATGTGTGCATATTTAAAGTTTATATAACTTGTTTGTTTTTCAACAAGGCATGGAAAGTGGTGAATATAAAAAACACAAGATCTCTGTACTCACAGAATTTATAGCATAATAATAGTAAACACCTAAGTTTTGGATGCATAGCTTTAAAATATTTGTGTTATGCTCCCACTTCCCTATGAATGAGGGTTCCTCTGCACCTCTCCTAAATCAGTTTCACAATTACTCAAAATTTGTTCAAAAACTTTTAAAGTTGTGCTAAAATTGTGTTAGAAAATGAAGAAAAACAACAGAAACACTAGAACAAAAACCAATTATGCTCATTATCTCTATGATCTTGGACCTCATTATTATGTTTTAAATCATATTACTAGAATAAAAGTTCTCTTTTTTATTTTTTGGTTTTATCATTATTTTTAATTGGCACAAAATAATTGTACGTATTATTGGGGAACAGTGGGATATTTCAATACATGTGTACAATGTGTAACTATCAAATCAGAGTTATTAGCATATCCGGCACTTCAAACACCTATTTTTTGCCTTGGGAACATCAAAATCCTTTCTTCTAGCTATTTGAGAATATACAATAAATTGTTAATTATAGTTACCCTATAGTACTATAAAACATTGGAACTTATTCTTTTTATGTAACTCTACTTTTGTAAATGATAACCAACCTCTAGCTAGTCTCCCTTCCTCCTACTTTCCTGGTCTCTAGTAACCAGTCTTCTACTCTCTACTAAAAAAACAACTGTTTTAGCTTCCACATATAAGTTAGATCATGCAGTATTTCTCTCTCTGTACCTGGGCTGATTTCACTTCACAATGTCCTCCAACCTCATCCATGTCACCACAAATGATAGAATTTCATTCTTTTTGTGGCTGAATAGCATTCCATTGTGTATACTATACCACATTTTCTTTATTCTTTTTGTGACGGATACATAGGTTGATTTCCATCTTGGCTATTTCGAATAGTGCTATAATAAACATTGGAATGCAGATAACTCTTCAACATACTGACTTCCTTTCCTTGGGATATCTGCCCAGTAGTGGGATTGTTGAATCATATGGTAATTCTATTTTTAGTTTTGTAGGAACCTCCATACTGTTGTCCATAATGGCTATACTAATTTGTATGTGTGTATTTTTACAGGCCTATAATTTCTCCAAGTCTTTAAAGATTTAAGTTGTTAGTAAAAAAAAAATACATCAATTCATTCAAAAAACATTTTTTAACATATGTTTTATGTGCCAAGCTTTTTGTCAGGCATGGTGGCAAAAGAGAATAAAATGCAGGCCAGGTGCAGTGGCTCACACTTGTAATCCCAGCACTTTGGGAAGTCAAGGCAGGTAGATTACCTGAGGTCAGGAGTTTGAGACCAGCCTGGCTGACATGGTGAAACCCCGTCTCTACTTAAAAAAAAAAAAAGATACAAAAATTAGTCGGGGGTGGTGGTGGACGCCTGTAATCCCAGCTACTGGGGCGGCTGAGGCAGGAGAATCACTTGAACCCAGGAGGTGGAGGCTGCAGTGAGCCAAGACTGCCCCACTGCACTCCAGCCTGGGCAACAAGAGCGAAACTCCATCTCAAAAAAAAAAAAAAAAAAAAAAAAAAGAAGGATCCTTGTTCATAGCATTCATGTCTCTAATGGTAATGATAATGGCCAATGTAAGCATAAAATTTCAAGGTTGGAGTCATATAGACAAGCTAAAAAGTAACGATACTGAGAGTCATTGAAATATTTTGAACAGGGAATCAATTAAAATTATTTCTAGTTGTATATATCATCAAAAATGAAGAACTAGAAGAAGGAATATACTAATATTTCACAAGAGTATTAAATCTGATTTTAAGTGATCAAAATAAAAAAATTAATATATAAGAGATATATGGTGGATGTAGAATCTTAGGGACTCAGAAAATGATTATACATGTATGGAGAAGAAAAACTAGAAGTCAGAAATGACCCAGGGCTTTGATCCTCGGCAGAGATATCAACAAAGACAGAGAAGATAATGAGCTAGCTGTGGGGTAAATGGTGAGGAGACATGATGAATATAATTTAAATGAAACTATAAATATAATGAATTTAACAGGCACAATAGTCTGTTCTTTCATGTAGGCAGAGAAGGAAAGTTAGAGGCAAAACACATCTTTGGGGGTGTACTGGGAGATAAGAAAGGAGAGATTTTAAACAATGAGTGAGAATTGCTGATAGTAAATACATGTATAGAATAATCAAGAAGAATATGGAATTGTACCACTGCACTCCAGTCTGGGTGACAGAGTGAAACGTTACCTCAAAAAAAAAAATAGAGAAATGGCAACAAAAGTTATTAGTAACTATGCAGAAACAAATTTAAAAATAGAAGGGTGTATTCAACTAGAACAGTGACTTTCTTTTTTCAGACGTAGGAAGAAAGGAAGAGAGAAGACGGAAGGGAGGAAGAGAGACAGTAAGGGAGGGAGCAAGGAAGAAAAGAGGGAAAGAAAAGGAGTGGTAATGCTATAAAGATTATGCATAAGAAGGAGCCCAAATATAAAGGAAAAAATTTCCCGGAGTCCTTAAATACCTTAATAAAGGAAATTTGTCTGCAGAGAATAAGCGACCAGGAAAACATTGCGAGCTTGAAAGCTCATAAGATTAAGCATTGCTGCTAGAGGTAGTGATTGACACAGAGCATTGAAAATTCAGGACAGGCCATTTGAAGCCCAAGTAAGCTATTTCACACATGTTTTTAGTGATGTCAGTCAACTGAGCCTGACAGTTTGGAAGCACAAACAAAGATATATGGTGAGGAGGCTTTTGAGGACCCAGGGTTGGCAAGGGCAGAATTGAATGTCTGTCAGGGTAGTGAGATTAACAAATAAGAGCAAGCCTAGTTATTTAAAGGAGTGGGCAAGAATTTAACTTTCATGGTCCCTAAGCAACTTTGCCATCATGGTTCCTTTTTCTCATTAAAAATTATATGTTATATTTGTGTTGATATAAAGACAAATATCTTGATAATATGTATTAAAACATTTTCTTCTTAGAGGTCAATTGTTTTTCTAACCATAAAAGAAGGTAAAACAGTTTATTGAATGTTAAAAATAGTGTGGAGCCTTGCTATTGTGCTTACTGTGCCTAGTGGAAAAGTTTCCTCTGCTTTAGAAATTGTTACAAACCAGTTGAACTTCTTGGAGATTCCCTCTTCAAAATTATAAAACATCTGAGCATGGTGGCTCATGCCTGTAATACAAACACTTTAGGAGGCCAATGTCAGAGGATCAATTTAGGCCAGGAGTTTAACACTGGACTGGTCAACATAGCGAGTTCCCATCCCTATAAAATAAAAAAATAGCCAGGTGTGGCAACATGTGCTCGTAGTCCCAGAGCTATAATCACTCCACTGTACTCCAGCCTGGACTACAGACAGACACCCTGTCTCAAAATAAAAAAAAAATAAAAAATAAAAAAAGAAAGAAATAAAGGAAGAAGAAAGAAAAAAGAAAAGAATTCTATAACACTACTGACTTTTTAGTAAAGTATTGAGGGTCTACTGAAGCCAATGTTAGTTCTATTTCTTTGATCTACTAGGGTAGTTTTGTTTTTAGTTTGTTTTATTGTGTTTTCTAAATTTTATTTTACCAAACTGGAGTGCTGTGAACATAAATGAGGATGTGGAAGTCACCTGGTTGTGTCAAATAAATATAACTTAAAGATGTATAGGTAATCTTAAACTTGCTAACGATTATTCTTTTCTCCCTTTTTAGGAAATGAATGTATTTGTTAATTGTGTTTTCAAAGGATTTTATAGGTATGAGAACCACAGTTCAAGTGCAAAAAAAAGTTATCCACAGGCCACCCGAATCCTAGTTACACTGGAGATGTTTTTCCAGTATAAATTTCTAGCCCGTCAAATCAGAATTTCTGAAGGTGGAGCTCAGGAAATTCATTTTAACAATATCTCCAGATCATTTGTATGGACTTTAACTGTGGAGACTCAGATGTCGAGATGATTTATAAACGCTCTTGAAAGTCTAAGATTTTATAATTTTAAGATCAATACCTGTAAAAAAAAAAACATAGTGTGAACTAAGGCATTATTAAAGGTAAAATGGGCCAATTGTTCAATTTGAGACTTGTTTTATCAACTGAGTACAAAAGGGAAGTAACTTCATTTATTTCCCCTTTTATTTTGCTATTGAAGTGAGGGGAATTGCTTGTTGGTCACATATGTAGCCTAATCACTTACTGCCAGAAAAGTTTCCTAGGTGTGCTTTAAGTGTGCACAGAGATGCTACTTAGCAGGTGCCTGCGGAGTTGATGGCCCACATACTGCCTCGATCTGGGGCCTCTGGGATTTATTTGGTGCTTTGATGGTGATTAAATGGTGCCTGACTCTTTGTAAGGGTTCAGGAAACATCTTTGTTGTTTGATTCATTCCCAGGGAGTGACTTTGGAATAGGGGAGACTAGAGTTTATACTTCTGGTGTAGTTACTTTACTTGTGCAAATAGACAGACATTTTAAAAAATATTATCTTTTACATGAGAAGAGATATTGAGAAGGCTGGACTGTTATATTTTTATTCTTTAAAGAAAAATAGAATTTTTTCTGTCTCTAAAAATGGATTTTTTTTTTTTTTTTTTTTTGAGATGGAGTTTCGTTCTTGTTGCCCAGGCTGGAGTGCAATGGCACAATCTTGGCTCACGGCAACCTCTGCCTCCCAGGTTCAAGTGATTCTCTTGCCTCAGCCTCCTGAGTAGCTGAGATTACAGGCGTGGGCCATCATGCCCAGCTAATTTTTGTATTTTTAGTAGAGCCGGGGGTTCTCCTGACCTCAGGTGATCCACCTTCCTTGGCCTCCCAAAGTGCTGGGATTACAGGTGTGGGCCACTGCGCCCGGCTAAAAATGAGTTTTTTACTTTGTTGCATAATATATGCCCATAGCAAATATAGAGAAATATAAACAGACAGAACAAAAACCTCTAAATCTTACCACCTAGATAGGTCCAATTTTAACATTTTGGTACTCTTCTTTCTGAGGCTCTTTGATTCATATGTGTATATGTGTATAATACACACATATATTCATATATGTATATACTTATACATGTACATATTCATATTGTTGACATTCTGTACTTACAATTTTGTCCCTTTTAAAATACTATAAAATTATTTGAAAATATTTTTATCAGTTATAAAAAATACTCTATCTTATGAATTAATAGGTTACACATTTCTGTCTGTGGGTCAGGCTCTTTTTAACTCGGTTTGTGTATAGATCTTTAACTGTATCTGTCATTATTTTCTTAGGAAAATGAAGTATTGGACTATGCTTGATAAAAATAAGAGTATTTTTCCAACTATTGATACAGCTTGCAAAACTGATTTCCACATATAATCTTTTATTTTTGTTGCAAAATTAACAAAACCAAGTCCTATGAGGAAACACTTGTGAAGTCTCTTGATGTTCTGAAATATTTGATTCAATGACCAAAAATTATATATATTATAGTAGAATGTATCACAATTTCTAAAATGATATATTGAGGAATAAGGAGTGGCATTTCAAAATGTCCACTATATTATTAATATTGTGTTATAAAATTAATATTGTGTTATAAAATCATTAAAACACTACATGTTAAGGAACTAGTGTAAATTATAAATACTGAACGTGGGTGAACTTTAGAGAAATAGGAAAAATGTAAGAGTATAAGCAAGTCAAAATTAAGAAATCTATTTTAAATGAAAGAAATTTTATAAATCTTTAAAAAGCTAATAGAGATTTGAATTTATCACATATTATTGAGGTGGATGCATAGTTTGTTGATGCAGAGAAATAAAGAAGCTTGGGTAACCATGCTTTACATATGATGCACCATAAAGGAATTCAAAGATAAAGCTGAGGAAAGAATTTAATACTTTACTACCAACCACACCCACAAAAGACAAAAAATAATAATTTAATGAGGTGCGTATGCATTCCAAAATAGATGAGAAAGAAAGAGGACATTTTAGGAAAATGATAAATTCTTAAAATTGATCAATATTGGGAAGCCAGCCATGACTAAATCTTTCTAAATTTCAGTTCTCTGAGAGGCTTGAATAGATGCACGTTAACATTGCCCAGGGGAGGTAATTTTGCAGCCCTGCTTTGTGGTAAATGCCAGTCCTTATTCTACCAGGAGAATATCTCATTAGTTGTACCACCACCATGATTCTAGGGATTCAAGTTCTAAAACCCAATTAATTTAGTAAACTGAACTGTTTCAGTACAGGCACTTAGGACTCTTTCTGGATGGGACCAACTAAAAATTGGTTATCTGGATCATCTCAAACTGTGCTCGACTATCCAGCATGTTTTCTTTTTCAGAACAGCATACTTCAGACAACATAACATGTCCTAAATCATCTTTGGCTTAGTCACCTTCAATAGTGTCTTTTCGTGAGAAAAGAAAATCTAAGACCATTATTTTGTTTCTAGGTAGTGGAATATGAGTTTTTCAAATCTTAGTTCCCTGGGGGTAAAAATGGTCTAACATTTAATTGTAAGCAGCCAAGTTACGATTGGCAAAGTAAAGTGGAAAGTTAACATTTATTTTAAGACTCAGCTATGTAGACAGTTGATCCTATAATTGTACTTCAATACAGGTACAGAAAAACAGAATCAGATTTATGTTTTTCAGAAGAGTGTTATGTGAATTACAAATTTTATATCTATGAAAGATTGTTTTATGAAATATAGTCAAAATAGATACTCGATAAGGTTCTTAAACAGTTCATCATCATTTCCTAGAAGCAATATTCTGCATCATGAACAAAGTGGAGTCATCAACAATGGATCCCAGAAAGCGGCTATTTCATCTGCATTTAAATGATACTCTGCAAAGGCTCTGCCCTGGGCAGGGTTTGTCTTGGGGCTGGATAGTGACATAAGGGCATCAAAGCCACTGAAGCATTCAAAGACTGCAAAGTAAACAAAGTAAATGCTGTTAGGAGAAACTGAAGCAGAATGCTAAGTGATTTAGCAGAGTTTTATGGTGCCTGAAAATTCCTAAAGCCGATTCATGAATCTGACGCAGAAAGGAGATAGGTTGCTTTCTGTATAATTGGAAAGGATATAGCAACAGGTTCTGCAAGAGCAGTTGCTGGGGGAATCCAGAGAAACCTCTTTGCATGTTTGCATGTTGTTTTTGATTTTAAAAAATTTTCTTAAATGATGTCAATCATACCTCCTCCAATTTAAAGAAATAATAAAGAACAACATTTTACTGAGCACTAAGTCCAGATGTAATACACAGTTCTTGCTCAGACGCATGGCATAGGGCAAACTAACAAACTTGCAACAAGTACTTAGAATTACAGAGAGAACAAATTGAGTATGTTTCAGTGTTATTTTCTAAGCAGTAAAATCTACCAGCCCATAGAATCATCGCCTAAAGGAAGTGAGTAAAGTACATTATTAGAATCACTTAAAATTTGTTGAACAAAACGTGGAAGAACACTTTGGAGGAAACAGCAAAAATGTAAAGAGAATAGTTCCCATTCTCTTGATATTATTTACGTTGCTGCTCTCTTTATCTGCATTCCCCCCTCCAATTGGAATATAAGTATATGGAAGTTCTTTCCATTTTTTATGTACACATTACAGTATTTCGCCTGGTTCTTGAGTTAGGACATATGGTGTAATAGGCTAGGGACCAATGTAATATATTTTATCTTTTCTTTTTTTATCAGTCGTTTTCGGAAGTTAACATATGTTCATCTCACTAATACATTGATTTTTGTAGTAGTCTCGTTCTTTTAAAATCCGTCATCATCAATATGGCTCATTAGGAAAAAGAGGCTGGCAAGGAAATTTTTCTTAAATGTTGAAAGTGAGGAATCGTCCTCTGCCAGTGCACCTGTCTGCAATTCTTACAGTCATTTTAATTTGGTTCTACGTGGTTGCCACAAGCGTGATTTTCATACTGAACAGTTAAGACAAAATTATGATTCTTGTAGTGTTGTACATTATGATAATATGACCTACATAGTTTGAAAGTTGCATGGGGATAGAGGTGTTTTAAGAACTTTGGAATATAGCATCACATGGCAGTAGTCCACATTAATGGTCAAGAATTTAGAAAAGCAAGTAGCTTGCAGTCCTTTAGGTAAGATGTGACGAAGATGCAATTCTCAAGTTGATGGAAATTTACCCAGTAATTTAATTAGGACTAAATTATTTTTAAGTCTTACTCATGAAAAAATAAATTGTTTAGAGAAATGAAGGACTACTATAATTTGCAATTTCGAGTCTTCAAAAAAGTATATTATAATCTTGATCTAAGCCATCGTTTTTAATACTATTTCTATTAATGCTTTAGAATCATTTTACACCTCTATATTCAAAATGCAGTCATACATTTTATGCCATGAAATTTTCCCAGAAATGTTATATGCTATTTTCTCCATTCTATAAGATAGGAGCTGAGGCTTAGAGAAATTAAATCACTTAATTAGTAAATGGTAGAGCTAAGATTAGAACCCAAACTTTCCATACCTTGTTGTCCTTTCCTTTTCCGTGCATTAAGTACACAGTTGGTTTTAATTAGATCAGCCTTGGTTAGTTCACATGTAGAGAACATTCGAGAACTCTGCAATGCATTTTGAACTTGTGCCTATTATTGAAATATGTACAATTTGCCCTCCTTCCTACTGTTCCATTCCAAACTTCCACTTTTGTCTCATCCTCATCTTAGTTTTCAGTAATAATGAAACAGCTTAAGCTGTATTCTTCTGGAAATAACTTTATCTCACTACAACAACAGCAGGTATTTTGTAATTTAACCCTATTTTGAAATCTTGATGTTTAATATTTGTATAAATTTAAGAGGTAAAAGTGAAGTTTTGTTACATTGATATATTGCATAGTGGTGAAGTGTGAGTTTTAGGGTAACCATCAGCGGAATATTTACATTGTACCCATTAATTAATTTCTCATCTCTTACCCCACTCCCACCTTCCCATTTTTTGTGTCTTTGATGTCAATTTTTCTACACATTATGTCCATGTGCACAAATTTTTTTTAAAGCTCCCACTAAAAGTGAGAACATGTGGTATTTGACTTTCTGTTTCTGAGTTGTTTCATTCAAGTGAATGAACTCAAGTTCCATCCATGTTGCAGCAAAAGACATGATTTTATTCATTTTTGTGGCTGAATAGTATTCCATTGTGTATGTATGTGTATCCAATCATCCATTGATAGACACTTACGTTACTTCCACATCTTTGCTATTTTTACGTATGTATGTATGTATGTATGTATATATGTGTTATCCAATCATCCATTGATAGACACTTATGTTGCTTCTACACCTTTGTTATTGTGAACAGTACTGCAACAAACATACTGGTGCAGATATCTTTTTAATGTAATGATTTATTTTCTTATGGGTAGATGTTCAGTAGTAGGATTGCTGGATCAAATCATAGTTCTGTTTTTAGTTTCTTGAGAAATACTCCTACTCTTTTCCATAGAGGTTATACTAATTTAGATTCCCATGAACAGTGCATAAGAATTCCATTTCTCTGCTTCTTCACCAACATCTGTTATTTTTTTACTTTTTCATAAAAGCCATTCTGATTGGTATGATATCTCATTGTGCTTTTAATTTGCATTTCTCTGAAGACTAGTGATGTTGAGCATTTTTTCATATGTTTGTTGGCTATTTTTAGGTTTTTTTTTTTTTTTTTGAAAAATGTCTATTCACATCCCTTGCCCACTTTTTAATAGGGCTATGTGGTTTTACTTTGATGTTGAGTTACTTGAGAACCTTGTAAATTCTGAATATTAGTCCCCTGTTGGATGCATAGTTTTGCAAATATTTTCTCCCATTTCGCAGCTTGTCTGTTCAATTTATTGATATTTCTTTGGCCATGCAGAAGCTTTTTAGTTTAATTAAGTCCTATTTGCCTATTTTTGTTTTAGTTGCTTATACTCTTGAGGTCTTAGTCATGAATTCTTTGCCTAAGCCAATGTCCAGAAGAGTTTTCACCAGGTTTTCTTTTAGTATTTTATAGTTTCGGGTCTAATGTTTAACTCTTTAATCCATCTTGAATTGACTTTTGCATATCATGAACAATAGGAGTCCAGTTTTATTTTTCTGCATTTGGCAATCCAATTTTACCAGGACCATTTATTGAAAAGGCTGTCCTTTCCCCAGTACATGATTTTGTCAACTTTGTCAAAGATCAGTTGGCTATAAATATGTGGCTCTCTTTCTGGGTTCTTTGTTCTGTTTCATTAATCTATGTGTCTATTTTTATATCACTACCATGCTCTTTTTGTCACTATAGCCTTGTATAATTTGAAGTTAGGTAATGTGATGCCTCTAGCTTTTTTCTTTTTACTCAGGATTGCTTTGGCTAGTCAGGCTCTTTTTTGGTTTCATATTAGTTTTAGGATTGTTTTTTCTAATTCTGTGATAATGTTAGTATATTGATAGGAATTGCATTGAATTTGGAGATTGCTTTGGGCTTTATGGTCATTTTAACAATATTAATTTTTTTCAATCTATGAGCATGCGATGTTTTTCTATTTGTTGATGTCAATCTACAATTTCTTTCATCTGTGTTTTTTAGTTTTCCTTGCAAAGATTTTTCAATTAAATATATCCTTAGTTAGATATATACCTAGGTATTTTATTTTTTTATTGTTATTGTGAATCAGATTGCCTTCTTAATTTGATTCTCAGCTTGATCATTATTGGTATATAAAAATGATACTAATTTTTGTACATTAATATTTTATCCTGAAACTTTCCTGAATTAATTTATCAGATTTAAAAGTTGAAATATTTATCTGAAGAAGCATTTATTTAGTCAAAGGTAGGGGTTGTATGTACAAATAAAATGTGTCCTGAGACATTTCTGCACACATTTTGTTTTAATAGTAAAGTGACAAGACTGTCATCATTTTCTTAAGCCAAAATTAGGACTCATGCCTTGAAAATCTTGGCATACAATGAAACACAATACATGAAATTAGAAAAGCTGTGGAAAATCCAATACATCATGCATAGAATAAACACTGTTGTTTTCTCTAGGTAGTCTTTGCTGACCTAAGCTACACTAGATTTTTCTCACTATAAATACTCAGCTTCCTCTTTTTCTTTACAGAATACTATCACAATATTAATTTTAAAATGTGTTTTAATTTGCATAACAGCAAGAATTATATGCAGAATCTCTCATGTTCAATGTAGTATATTTGACATATAACGGGTATTCATATATAACCTTTGATACATGAATGATTGATTATACAAATGTATGAATTAAAAAGCTGGCTGTCCTACGTTCTAACTGTAACCTCTTTCCATACTTGAAGAAGTGACTTCCCAGAACACTCTCCTTCATGATCTAAAAGTATGCCTCAACTAACAGTGCTCTTGAGAGGATAAACTGAAAAGACAATGCATGTGTTTTTGTTTTATATACATTTCAGGTTATATTGAAAATGCACTGTAAATTCTTTAAATTATTTCAGTTCCATAATTTTACATCAAATGCTAACAATTGGAAATGTTTATACTATAATCTCTGAAAGAAACATTTTCATAGGCATATTTTATTTTAACATTTCTATATTGTTTTATGCAGTTTGTTTGTGGTTTTGCTTTGAAACATTTTGTGTTTTCCCTTTAACTTCTTTCTCCATATTTCTATGATATAAATTATAGGTTTTTAAAGTTAAAATTGATCCATTAATTAAATTAAAATTCTACTTGTTTAATCTATTTGCCTCCTTTCTCATAGATTTGAATTAGGTAGTAGCAATGAGTATTCACATGATTTGAATTAATTAAATTTAAGACTAAATGCAGTGCCCATTGTCCTGAGTTAACAACATTTCTTAGTACTGTGACCTAAGTAAATTCTGTATTTGTTGTTTATGTTTTGTTTTATAATGTATTTATATTAAAAAACCTGTATTTTTGGATGTATTTTTAGAAAAACAGATTTACAGGAAACAAACCAAACAAAAAGACTTGTGGTACAAGAAAATTAGAAAATACAGTATATTTAAAATGGACGTGTTAGCTTGTCCCAGGTAAACTCAGTTCAAAATATGGGATAAAAGAGATTTTACTTTTAACTTCGAACAGCTAGAGAATGATATGCAATATGGAATATACGCAGAACTAATATTGAACCAAATACCTACCTGTTTCATAGAAAGTGCGTTGCAGACCTTTTTCAAGAGCTCTTTTCTTCTGTAAAGTGACTGCCAAATGTGATCTTATTTTGGCTGAAGTGTTCTTTTCACCACATTAGGAAAATCTTCATGGTTTCATGTTATTTCCAAATTTCAAGAACTTGCCAGAATTTATATGCTGTACTTCTGCAATTCCATGCAGAATAGTTCAAGTTTGTTAAAGGACAAAACAAAGCTGTATTCATATTTTTATGTAGAATGTTTGTATTATGGGGGTATCTTTCATGCGCGTCCGTGTGAAGAGACCACCAAACAGGCTTTGTGTGAGCACCATGGCTGTTTATTTCACCTGGGTGCAGGTGGGCTGAGTCCGAAAAGAGAGTCAGCAAAGGGAGATAAGGGTGGGGCCGTTTTATAGGATTTGGGTAGGTAAAGGAAAATTACAGTCAAAGGGGGTTTGTTCTCTGGCGGGCAGGAGTGGGGGTCGCAAGGTGCTCAGTGGGGGTGCTTTTTGAGCCAGGATGAGCCAGGGAAAGGACTTTCACAAAGTAATGTCATCACTTAAGGCAAGGACCGGCCATTTACACTTTTGTGGTGGAATGTCATCAGTTAAGGTGGGGCAGGGCATATTCACTTCTTTTGTGATTCTTCAGTTACTTCAGGCCATCTGGGCTTATACGTGCAAGTCACAGGGGATGCAATGGCTTGGCTTGGGCTCAGAGGCCTGACAGTATCAAAAGGGATAAGAAAGTAAATTTTATTAAATTATTATAGCAAAGTAGCTTTTATATTTTGTTGTAGTCTACTAAGCCAAATTTTTGATCTATTCTTAACATAGCTCATTTTCAATTGAATAAATTAATAATATTTAGAAAACAATTTTCTGCAATGAACAGATAACAACTTATTTTATGAATATAATTTGGAATTTCTATAGTATCTCCTCTAAAAAGTTAATGGTGATATTTCATTAAATTTAAATGTCTTATAATTAATTAAATTTGAATATCTTGGAAAGTTAGAAGTCAATAAAGTCAGATATTTACTCGACATCAAAGTAAAACCACATAAAGTTTTTATTGAAACTTTTGATAACATATTTGTTTTACTAAATTTTAAAAAATAATCTACAAAAATACTGAGGTTCACAAGATGCAAATTGATCTATCACTCCAGTATAACTGTTTTTAACCTACTTGTCTTCTTTCTAATACTTTTACAGAATAGTATTGGAGATTGTTTTTCTCTGTGTATGCATAAAAATTGCCCAAAGGACATGCCTGAAACAGCAATCTGTAATTAATCATTGTTCCTCCTCCTGCTCTAGCTCCTGTTCCTCTTTCTTCTTCTTTGTTTCTTTGTGATGCAGCTGATTGCACAGTCAGGCCAGAAGTACATTCTCAGGCAATTTCTGTTTCTCCAATCCATTCAGTTTTTCATTAGCAATATTTTGAGCCATATTATTTGTCAGGCACTATTTTAGGGACTACAGATATTAGTGAATAAGTTGTCCAAAATCCTTCCATTTATGAAGTTAACTTTCATGCCAATAAAAAAGCAAAATAATGAACTTGGTTTAGTATATAATAACATGATTTCAGAGAATAATATAAAGTAAATAAAATTGGGTAAGAAGCTAGAATGTGACACAGGTGAGGTGTGAGCATATTCAAGAATGTTGAACAGCTTCAACTTGGATGCTTCAGGAAAGCTACTTGGTAGAAGTGACGGATGAGCAGAAAAGTAAAAGGTGAAGAGAAGGAGCAGAATGTGTGTGAAGAAGATTTTAGACAAAGTCCTAAAAACGGAAAGTAAAAAATCAAGAAGCCCGATGTGGCTCATCAGGAAGGGGGAATGTGCACATAGATGAGGTAAAAAATATTCAGGAGTTAAAATTAAGAGATAATCTCCCATCTAAAATGAAATTGATAGATGCTAAATTCTTCATGAATACATCGAAGGATATCATGAAAACCATGTGGAGATAAACTACTTATATTATGTGGATTCATTTTGATTACTAATTGAGTAGGGAGAAAAATGTTACCTTTTCCTTCAGCAGCTTAGTCTGGTTCCTGTTCAACTCGTATTTCATGTTCAAGGTAACTATCCCTGAGCCAACAAAGACAAACCATTTGATCTGTGCCCAAGGGTGAATACCAAAGGAACTTATACTCTCTAATTTCACCTGAATTGTTTATAAGGGAATGCCATATTTGTCCCTGGTTCCTCCTCTTTCACTCATCCCAATGACTGCATATGCCATTCACAGTTTCACAAACTCCTACTCGGTCTGCAGGTCATTTTACCTCTGCAGATGACCATCTTTCAAACAAGAGAGAAAATAAAGCTACAATATTTATGTTTCTTTCCTCTGGGTTTAGAACAAGAAATTTCCCTCGTTTACTTTTCTTTCCAGGATCATCTCCATTTGCCTCTGGATGCCATCCCACAATGCCTTATCTGAGAGTTTAATTCTTAGCTTAATGTCTCTCACATAGCATCAGTCTCTCTCTCTCTCTTTCTCTCGCTCTCCCTTCCTCCTTCTTTTCTTCCCTTATCTCCTTCCCTTTCTCTCTCATTTCCTTTCTTCCTCCTTACTTTCTACTCTATCTCATCCTCTGGTTTCTTCTCTACAGAGTACAAAAGTATTTAAATCTTTCTCAGCATAAAAGACCACAAACAGTGAAAATCTTTCTATGTTATTGCACTTTCCCCTAAGCCTTCTCACCTATTAGCTTTTTCCTTTTGCTATGCAAATTATTTAATATAATAGACCACCTTATCTGCCTTTATTTTCACAAATCTGATGTACTTTCCAGCATGTATTATGAAGGTACTGGTTTCATCCTACTTCTTAACCATGTTCACCACATTTAAGACTTTTCCATAATCTTACGGAAGCATTTACCATATTTTGCTAAATCAGATGGCCTATGTTGCTTCTCATTCTTTTGACACTCTAATAGTATGTGATGTTGTTGACCATTCCTATTGGAAAATATTTTTATGCTTCACTTCTAAGAAATTTCTTCTTGTCTCTCCCTGCCTTTTTTAAATTATTCTTTTGATAGTTTCTCCTCCCCTACTCACAGCTTAAACATTTTGCTCTTCAGGGTCTAGTTTCTTTTGTTGTTGTTGTTGTTGTTTCACTTTACAGGTGCTTTATGTAATCAAACATAAAGCATGGCGCAAAATGATTTAATAATTTTAACCTCCTTTTACCTCTTTTAAAAATTCATATTGTGTGGCCAGGCGTGGTGGCCAGGCATGGGATTACACCTGTAATCCCAGCACTTTGGGAGGCCGAGGCGGGCAGATCACGAGGTCAGGAGATAGAGACCATCCTGGCCAACATGGTGAAACTCCATCTCTACTAAAAAAATACAAAAAAAAAAAAAAAAAATTAGCCGGGCGTGATGGGCGCCTGTAATTCCCACTACTGGTCAGGCTGAGGCAGGAGAATCGCTTGAACCCGGGGGGCGTAGCTTGCAGTGAGCCGAGATCGCGCCACTGTACTCCAGCCTTGGCGACAGAGCCAGGCTCCATCTCAAAAAAAGAAAAAAAAAATTCACATTATGATATGGCTGCAAGATTTATGCAGTCCCAAACGTAGGAGCCTGAGTATCTTCATTCTCTCCTTTCCTTCAACACTCATACAAAATCAGGAACTAAATCAGCCCAATCAGTGCTTCTCAAACTCTCAAACAAACAAAAACAAAAATAAAAACATGTTTTTATTTTTCTGTACCATGCCTTCCTTTCTGTTGCTGCCCTAATTCCATCCAACTTTAATGGTCAGATAACTTACAGTATGCTTCTTGCCCCCCTCCCCCAATCTTGATCTGTATTTCTTTGTAAGTTCCTAATAAAAATATGTTTTTCCACTGTCATTCTTATAACAAAACAACAACCTCAACCATCTCTGACATTTCCTGCCAACTTCTTACACTACAGTTCCCTTCAGAAATTCACTTCAAACACAGCCAGAACTACACATAACTCACAGATCCTTAAATATAGCACTTGCTTTTGTTGCATAAGCTGTTCCCATGGCCTGGAATGTCCTTTAACACCTTAACCATATAGGAAAATCCTGGTTATCCTCAAGTCTTGGATCACACGTCGTCTTTTCTGCCAAGTCCTTTGTGAACATTCCAGGCTTACTTAGCTTTCAAGTATAATGAAAAAAACATATGAGGTTTGGAGTAACTCAATTTGGATTCTATCACCTGATAGTCAAGAACCATATTTCAATTTTCTAAAGTTCTCTCATCCTCAATTGTTTCTTCTAAATCATCAAAATAATCATATTGATATTACCGAGATGTATTGATGATTCAATGAAATATGTGCAGATTACAGTGCGGTCTGTGTAGTTCTTGGTGCATAGAAAGTAGCTAGTATAAAAGTATATAATTTCTGCTCTCATTTATAATATTTTATTATACTTTTTTCTAATAATTATAATTGAATTATTTATTTACCTTCTGCCCTCTTAACAGTCTGCTCTATTATCGTTTAATTCCTGGGTATTGTACTGAGATAGGAACAAATAGATGCTCAGTATATGTTTGATGAATGCATGAAGAAATACTTTCTTGGAGGTAGTAGTGGAAGGGACGCATTTACTTCTCATCAATGCTCAATATTCATTTTTGCTTTTAATAAGAATCTAATTTCCAATGGCTTTCGATATTTATTATAAGGACATGTGAATTGATGTTTTAGATAAAAAATTATGCTATTTAGGAAAAAACCGAAGTGACTGTCTATTCTAGGGCTTGCCTTGGTCATAAAGGCAAAACAACAAAACAATCTACTTTAAGTAAAAGGTATCTTCAGTGCAGATCTCTGAAGAGCAAATAACTTAATCAGTCAGTCACTATCTTCACTCTGAATCCTAAAAGAATGCTCTAGTTTCTCCAAAGCTTGTCAAACCAGAGTCAACAAAATGACTGATTTGTCACTGAAGCATAGCACACAATTCAGAAAAAGATTTAAAAGACATCTATAGTAGTTTAGCTCTGATTTTAGGGGCAATTTTTGATAACACTAATATACAATCAGAGAAAAAAATATGTGTGCATTTTCTGTAGAGAAAAACAGTATACCTAAGATATGACCTAAAAATGGGCTTCCTCCTTTTTGTTCATTTTATTTTACTCTTGCAGAAAAGTTTTGCTCTAGGAATTTTTGATTTGTGGCAGCACATACTGAAGCACATAGAGGTCAAGAGAAATAAGAAAGAGAATCAATGAGATGTGGCAGGTTCGTGTTTTGCATTTATATTACTCATAAAGAAGTTTAGACTATGATAAGATATTTCATAGGGAGACTCCTGAATTAATGTGCTGTTTTCTAAGGGAGAATTAAAAAGTTGTTTTCTCCAAAACACAAAGAGAATAGATAATGATAAATTAACACTTTAAACTTGAATTTTTTAAAGCAGGAAGTGTATATTTAAAAAAAGATGGCCTTGAAATATGGTTGTGCAATTTTGAGTCTGTTTAAAAGGTCAAGACAAGACATAATTAATTGAGGAAAAAATTCGTTTATGTGCTATAGACAGCTTTTAAACCAAAATGAATGTTAGCATCTTATATCCAAACTACATTATAATGCATAAATGATAGCCCATTCAGTAGACTTGTCTTGATACTGCCTATTGCAATGACCACTGAGACAAGGAATAAAATTATATTCATCCAAAGAGATAACTCAGTATTAAAGTGGAACATTTACTTTTTATCTAAATTCTGATCATAAATGTATTGTTCTGTCCATCAGAATTTTTTTTCAAGGAAGAATGCCTGTAATTTAAGTAGACAAAATTCTTCAGATGTACGTCTTGTAGCTTGTGGCTGGGTCTCATTTCTTAAGTCCTGACAACAGACATATACAAAATCAAGAAAATAAGTAATCTGTGATTATAACCAAAATCCAAATACCAGATTGGGCATTTAAGTTCTATGTAGTACCTCTTGACTGATCAAATATGTCATGTTGATTACACAGTTAGTGACCTCTTGCTTTTAATATTTTTCTGTCAAAGCTGTGTATGTGCATGTGTGTGTATGTGTGTCAGAGAAACACACAAAAGAGACAAATCAGAAGATCCCCATATACTTTGTCCAATTAAAAAGAACACAAAGCAGTTACAGTATAAGAAATTATTTACTTTTCTCATCGGAAAACTAATATGAAATTGACAAGAGTGTGAGGTATGAATTTTATGATGGCTATTTCTGAGACCAGAAACAGATGGAAAGAGACTATTAAAAGAGTCAGAGAATATTGCTAATGTGTTTCTATTTTGCTTTCATTTCAAAAATGCAGCAAACAATGGACAGCTAAATAGAATTAGATTAGAAAGGGAAATATTCCATCAATTTGAAAAATTTCCAAGTACTGTTATAAAAATGAATCCTTTTCCATCAGTGCCTCAGTTATCTGAGCATAACAAATTATAACTCTGAAGATCATGCACCTTGAGGTGCACAAATTTTTCTGCCTTTCACACCTACTTGGCTTATTGCCAGTAGAAAATCCACAGCTGTTACTGACATTTATTTTAAAATGTTGCCCTGTCTGATTGTAGTCTTCTGCAGTCCATGACTCAAACTTGAAGGTGGAAAGATCAAATTACCTTGCTGGTTTTTGTCTTCCTGAAGTCTTAATCTTCTGGCATAACATTTCAAATTCAGAAGCTACTTTATTACTGGGAAAGGTGAGAATAAAGGTAATTGCTCCCCTGGCATAACTATATCACAGTGTGTTCTGTATTATTTTAAAATTTGCTAATTATTTGTCTCCCTCACTACACTGTAAAGCTCCTTTAGAGAATGGGTTTTGTAATTTTATTTCCACAGAATTTAACAGTGTTTTGCACATAGGAAAGTCTCTAATAGATATTTGCTGAAATAAACTGAACTAAGTAAAACACAAAGAATAAAGCTGCAATATGCCTATAACAAAAAGAAAAATGAGGCCTATCGATCTCACCCTTGATGTTTTTCCTTTTAATTTCTGAAATCTTTGCAGATTATACAAATGTCCATTACAAACTAAAATGTGTACTAAATTTAACTGAAATCTAAACAAAAATCATAATATTTTCAATTATGATCCTAATATATCTTTCATTTCATTCTATTCATATACTTATATTCATACAAATATAAGTTTTTTACATGCGCCTTCAAGCTGGAAACTTATTTCTTACAGTACAAAAATGAAAATGGTGTCACATAGGTGTGTGTGTGTGTATGTATACACATGTCCATGTGTTTGAGGCATATATATCTCATAAAGACAAGCAGACATACACAAGATGTTAAAGATGAAAACTTTTATTATATATGTTTGTTACAGCAATATTGTAACAATGCTATATTTTGGGATTGAAATATTAGAGTTAACTAAAATGACAGATTTCATTCCTTACATCTTTATTCTGTAAAAATAAAAACCAAAATAAAACAAATCTTTTTATTTAGGTTTGAGTCAGAGTATGTAAGACACTGATTCTATAAATGCAACAGAACAGAAAATGTATGAGTGTATGTAGGCTTTTCTTTTAAACTCCGGAAACATGGAACGGTTCTAAAACCTCTCAGGCCACTTATGGTACAATGATTTTATTTTATTGTGACAGCATCTTTTCTGAAGTAAATGGATAAAGGAAGTAAGACAATTTTCTAATCAATCATCTGATTAAAAAGTGTATGGGAGGTGTGTGTGTGCACATACTCATTTGAAAAGGGATTGAATATTGAGTAGTACTTATATTTTTTAAAAAGTATTTTCTAGCATTTTATTTAGTGGACTCAAGGTATTTAAAAAATAAACTATTAAGAATTCAATGTTAATGAAGAATATAAATTTTCAACTCTGTCTCTTGAACATGAAATAGTCTACCTAGAAAAAGTTGATCACTTAACAAAACTCAAATTTATTTCTAATTCATCTACTATAAGAAAAGCACTATTATATTTCCTTTGCTCTGGATTCCTATTATTTACATTAGTCATGAAAAAAGTATTGCTTCATTTGATATGGAGTAATTACCAAAAAGCCTTTGCAGTTATTCTACAGCATTAAATGTTATGTTTTATATAAAAGGTTTTTTTTTTTAAGACTAATTTACTATCTCCCTCTATTGCTGCAACAAATAGTCACAAAACATTTTGCAGCTTTCTGGCACCTGCACAAGGCTGTGACTTATGAATATGCTAATGAGACTGCATCCAGAACTGGCAAAAATTCAGGACTTTCACACAGTTATGGGTCTGGCAGCCCTCAGTGCTGTGATACTAAGCCTGACAAAGAATATTTAGGTTAATTAATACAAGGTATAGCTTTTTGCACTTGGAATGCAAAAAGCTTTTAACATTATTTTTAACACAGCAACACTTTTAACTATTTGGAATCAAGATATTTTACTTACTGTAATGATTTTCTCATTAATATTGTTGGAACACTTTACATACATTTTAACAGTTATTTTGTATCACTAATGCTGCTAAATCCTAGACGGGTTATTTTTTCTACAAAACTTGTTGTATAGATAATGCCTAGAATGATTTTATTTTTTTGTTTTAAAGCAACATTGGATGCCAGAAGCTATTTCCTCAAATATTTTCAGAAAAGATTCCTATTAATTTACCTAATGTTTGTAACATGGCTTTCTATTGCTGCAAATAGCTCAGCTTTCAAAGCAGTGCTTTCCCCCAACAATATAGTAAGGCCTTAGGTTTTCACTTCCTGTAGGACAAAAATCTTGTAAATCTCTTAACTTTTCTTAACTATTTGTTCAGTGTTGGAAACTTCTTACAAATGTAAAAGCATGTAAATATTCAGTTACCACAAAGAGTTACTTCTCTCTAATGACTTAATTAAGATGGTTTCAGCAAAAGCAAAGCTGGGACAACATATAAAAGACCTGCTTAAAGCCAAATCTTATTAAACCCAGAACTTTATACTTCACCATGTGGAATTCCTTAGCACACTTAGTAGTTCTTTGTCTTTTTGTTTGTTTGATTTGTTTTGTTATTCATAATTTTGCACATATTTATTCTTAAAATGTATTTCTTTGTCAATTTCAATGTCTAAAAAAGCCAGTTCCTCCAGACACAAAAGAAAATATGTCACAGGATCCTTCAGGTGTTGCTTTTACAGTTGGGAACCTCTATGGCCAGTGGCGTCTTTGCCCAAGTTTTGCTCACTGGCCTCGTTCTGCCCGCTCAGCCTAGCAGGCTGTGCTCAGCTCATGCTACTGGCCTGGATCTCATGCTGCCAAAGGTGAGCCTGGGGCAGAGTGACAAGGGGTGTGTAAGAGAGCGAGCGCAGAGTCTGGCCACTGCACACAACCAGGCAAGCAGCTGTGGTGGGGCAGGCAGCTCCAGGCACTGGCATGGGCGTCGGCTTCCTGCAAGGCTGCAGCTGGACCAAGTGTCCTGCAAGTGGCTTCCACTGCAGGCACCGGGGAACACAGTGGTGCCTGGAAGCTTGGAGATGCCAGGAACTGCAGAGCCCTAAAGTGGGTGTCACAGCACTGGCTTGGGGAGGTCCTAGGTCTAGGCTCCCTGAAGGGCTGCAGCTCTTCTCTCCTTTCTTCTCTCCTTCTTGTTTCCCACAATGTGGAGAGAGGGGGCATGTTTGAGCCATTTGTGTTACCAGCTCTTTCAATCCCACCATTCTGTGGGTCTTGAGTTCTTGTCCCACATCTAGGAAGAATGAGGTACATGGACAACTGGAGAGTGAGCAAGATGAAGAAGTGCCTTATTGAGCCACATTACAGCTCTCAGGAGAGCTGAAGTGGGCAGCTCCTTTCTGCAAGCAGGTCATCCTGATGACTACAACTCTCAGCAGGGATGAGATCCACAGTGGGTAGCTCCTATCTGCAGCCATGTCATCCTGACATCTGCCTGAGTCTGGCTGAGTCCAGGGTTTTTATGAGCTCAGAATGTATGTGCTGATGGGTTCATGGGTGACCATGCACAGGCCAGGAAAAAGCACCATAAGTTCTCACTCCGGGCACAGACTCCACCTGGAACTGACAGTTCGGCCACTAGGCTTCAGGTTGTCCCTGGCTTGAAGGTGGGGCTTCACTGGGGACACACCCCTTTCCACCCAGGAGGCTGTCTGCCTCCTGCTGCCATCTACATTTCATCCGCAGCATCTAGGCTGTTTGTGCCTAGGGGTGCTTGCAGGCCCACACCAAGTGGCCCTCAGCACTCCCTCAGCCCTCCTCCTGTGCTTGTCAGTGTCCAAAGTCTGGAGTGGGCCGAGTCAGCAGGGGGCTGCTGTGTCAGCACCACCATGAGTGTGCCCACACCCGGCCAGGTCGTGACAGTGCCTGGGCTTGGCCACAACTTTGTTCCAAAATTAGAGAGGGCCCTGAGAGCAGGGAGAGGCCAGGCAGCAAGAGCAAGCACTTCTGAGTTTGTGGGGGTAGGGGTGGGGGAGGCTTTCCAGGCCCCCGAGAGTGGAGGGATGCCCAGGTCCACAATGGCTGGGCAGCTGCAGCTGTGCTGGGAAAGGCAGAGCTCCTGCCCAGGCAACTTGGAAGGGGGTGGGGCTCCCACCTCCCTGGCTCCCGCCAGCTCACTTGCAGCCCCAGCTGCACTCCCCTGCTGCAGCCAGTGTCTTCGCAGTGGCCACTCCAGATGGGCCACTGCTGCCATCAAATATATGAGCATGATAGATGCCTTAGGAGAATCTTCTGTTTTTACTCTAGTACACAGTCATTATTCTTGAGATTAGGAGTTTTTAACTTTTCTTTTCTTTTTTAAATAACTGGGAATACCTCCAACTAATATCAGTAATAGGGTCTCCCCAAGCTGTGACTCTCGTGAGAGTCATGGGGTCACAGTAGTGGGACTCTTAGAATCCCAAACGCAATACAGTTTAAAAATCACTGGAGGTGACTGGGACTCTCTCTTTTCTTATGACTTCCTAGTCACTGCTTAACTGAGTGTTTTTGATATACTATGTAACAAAAATAAAACACTCATACATTCTGAATAAAGTGATTTTATCATTATTCTGTTTCTGTGACAAGTCTGAGGTACACTTAGTAGGAAAGTTAAGGCCATATTTTTGGGAATGAGTCATATACCTCAAAGCTATAATGGCATATGCATTTCTGACTTATTATTTGGATGGTATTTCTTGTCAGTGTAAAATAATAACAGAAAAATGATCATCAGAGATAATGAGTTAATTTGAGAGTGAACCCTGCAATGTGGAATATAGTGCCACAGTCAACTACAGGCATATTCAGGGAGACAGAGGAAAATGAAGATTTTAAAATTACATAAATTATTTTGTGTAATTTTGTATTTTGCATAAAATATTTAAGTTACATAAATTATTTTGAAACAATTATCTTTCGCTACAAGAATCAATAACAAGGGTTGTGTCCATACAAGGTTGAAGAGGCGGTTGCTGGGTGGATGTCATCACAGAAGTATTTTTTGTGTAAAGTTGTGGTGGCCTTTGTGCAAGGTTGTAGTTTTGCCAGTCTTTTGTGATAGTTCTTGTTACCAGGCAATCATGTATGATACCCTCCCTTTATGGCCTTCCCTGGCTCCATTTTGTCAGAGTTTGACACAAATGACTTTGTTTTAATTTTGACATATTTCACATTTCCCACTTTTGAGCAAGACCTTTCACTGGAAGCACTGCTGATCAAACATCTTATGTTTAGGTTTCGATTGTCTTTTGGTGCAGGGATGGACCTGTCCTGGTTGTTGGTCTGGTACCACATTGGAGGAAAGTGATTGGCAACTAGGAGTCAGTGTTAAGAGCTTTTTGGCCAGATTTCAGCAATAAAGGGGATTTAAAGGGATTAAGTCTTAGGCTGAGACTAGTCGGAATCCATTGTTAAGTTCAATTTTGTCTCTTCCATAGGCATTGACTATCATCTCAAAGTCCTAGCACACCATTATTCTGTTATAAGTTGTAGTTCTGCAGAAATAGTTACAATATTTAGAAAGGAAAATACAAAGTAAAATTAATAGTAATATAATAATGGAGCTTGTATAATAGTTGTTGTTGTTGTTGTTGTTGTTGTTGTTGTTGTTGTTGAGACGGAGTCTCGCTCTGTCGCCTGGGCTGGAATGCAATGGCATGATCTCGGCTCACTGCAACCTCCATCTCCCATGCTCAAGTGATTCTCCTGCCTCAGCCTCCCAAGTAGCTGGGACTACAGGTGCCCACCATCAGCCTGGCTAATGTTTGTATTTTTAGTAGAGATGGGGTTTCACCATGTTAGCAAGGAGGGTCTTGATCTCCTGACCTCATGATCTGCCCACCTTGGCCTCCCAAAGTGCTGGGATTATAGGCACAAGCCATGTATAATAGTTTTGAGCCATGAATTTTGGCTTAAAGGCCACCAACTGAATACATTAAATGACCATGGTGAGCTAGATGAGACCTGCTGTAAGTATGTGTCTTGTTTTCTTATCTTATGTTTTGGGGTCTCAATGTCTTCAGACAAATTTATCCAGATATATCATGTAGCATTAGCAATAGTACATAAATTTCCTTATTTAACCAGTGTTTAGCCTACAGAACCTACTGATTGTGAAATTTTAACTACACCATTATTCTGCCAAGTAAAAATGGTAGGTATAAACAAGGAAAATTTAATAGGGCAAGAACCTCATTAAAATGGAAATCTTGTTCCATTGTTTTAGGGACAGTTTTCCACAACATGAAGCCATCAATTTCTCATTGTGGTTTTCAGTTTGAACGTCTCTGGTTATGGCATCTGTATGAAGCTTATTCCTTGAAATTTATATTAAATTGTCCAGCTTCAGCTTAAGGTGCTTTAGAAAAAAGCAATTTTTTCTTGGTAATTACATAGAAAACAAGCATATGGAAGGAAACTAGAACTCAAGATTTAGTCTGGTCTACAAGTAGAAAATAAAAATGCAAAAATCAATGCACAGGGCTACAATCTTATAACAGGTATATTATAGTTTTCTTTAGAAAATAATATGTTTCTCTACCTGATTTTTGCCAAAGATAATTGGTAAGACAAATTTGTTTGTAAAAGTTTAATTTTATCCAGTTTGACATGATTAATTACCTAAGTGCAGCAAGAATAATGATTGACTACATAAGTAATCTCAAATTGGACTCCAGAAAGCCTCTCAAGGCGGAAAGCCAAACCAAGCAGACTTCAGATTTTGTCTGCAGTACCTGAAACAATTTAAATATAACATCCCAGTCAATACCTTGGTAACATAATCAAGATTTTCAATTAGACTCTATTACAAGAAGAAACAGATTCCCATTGAACTTATGTAAGTAACCCTATTCACATAAAAATAAGAATACTTAGAAATAGTTTCAGAATTTTGGAAAGATCAAATAGGGAGAAAAAGTAAATATTTTTTATTTTGTTCAGAAAAGGATACTTACCAAATTCCTGTTAACTATAGATACCTTAAATCCAGGGGGGGGAAAAAAACCCATTTAAGTAAAGAACCAGTAATGTTTTAAATAAATAGCCTGTAAAACTCATAATTTAAAAAATCAGTTTATTTATTCTCTCAGCAGTGTCACAAATTTATCAATTTTTAAAATAGTGATCTGGAAGTTCTTAGTTAATCCACTGATCTTAAAGTTATTATAAACCTGTATTTAAGAGTAATGATTAGAAATATTTTTTCATGAATCTGACTATTGATGTCTTTAGAGAAGACTTAAAACAATAACTGTGGATGAAAAAGAGATAGAATAGCCATGCTTAAAAATCTGGTAAGAGTTTATTATAATGATGCAATTGACAATGAACTCCAATTATTTTTATTTCATACATTATTTTAAGGTAACAATGAGCATCATGACTGATAGCATCACTCCAGGACCATCAGACTTCTATACATTTTACATAATCCTTAGGACATTTACATCAATAGCATATTTATATAAATAGAACTTAAAGAAAATTTAGCATCACTCTATCATTTGGCAATGCTTCCCACGCAATCTAACATGGTAAATGGGCCATGTTAGTTAATATTTAGGTGAGAAACACACCTTCAGAGTTCTAGGGGCCCAATTAGATTCCAAAAGTTAGTTTGCAGTTAGAAAGACTTAATTTAGAACTTTGATTCTTAGGAAGCTTGCCAAAGATGTCAAAATTTTAAGACACTTGATTAAAATAGCATCACAGGTCACTGTGAAATAATAACCAGCCGTTTAACCAGAACGATAATTTAAAGACTTCAAAAACCAATACAGAAAGTTACATATATTTAAAAAGAATCTCAGACCTCTAACAGAGATGACTCATTTTTGGCTAAGCAATCAAACAGACTTACTAAAGACAAGAAGCACAGAAAATAATCTTGATGAAACAAATCTTTGTTTTTGTAGGCCAATTTTTAAATGATAAAGAAAAATGTCCTGTAGTGTGATTGCTTCTGTTTATGGGAAGCCCATTTAGATATCCTGGAAGTCAAACCTGATGAAAATGTACTTTAATTCAATCAAACACTGGAAGTATGTATGCCCTAAGTTTTAAATGTACACCATATTGTAGAAGAAATAACTAAGAAAACTAGTACCATGAGCAGGAGAGTATATGAATCTTGGAAATAGTAAAGGCATGTGAAATTTCCTGGTCATGAAGAACAATTCAAACATACCAAAAAAAAGCCAGTAGTACAGAATCAAGTTACTGGAGGAAGACAGTACTGTCTTAGACCATCGACACAAATACTTTTAGCATCACGTCACAATAGCACAGTCAGAACTGGGGAAAGAAAAAGCTACCGAAACTAATAAAAAAGCTAAGCAAAAGAGTCATTATTCCAGCCAAGCCGCCCCACAAAAAGGTATCTTTTCAAGGAGAGAAGGATGAAGAGCAGAAGGCAATGACACATGACCTGCAAATCAAGTGCAATGAGATACAGCAAAAGTTGAAGTTGTGAGATATAAATATCAAAAGCTTTAAAAGGAAAATTTTATTTTGAGAAATACAATTATTATTTTGAGTGAAGATAGCAATCGTAACCTGATCAGGGTAATTAAATGAAAACCAAAATGGAATTAAATGGAAAATGTAAAATATTAAAAAGCTGTAGTTCAGAAGTTCAGGAGATGGGTGAAATTTTAAACAAATTTCAGAATTAAAAATTTAAAACCTCTTGCAAAATTTTTTAAAATTAAGAGCAGATCAATTTTCCAAGAAAATCTTGTTTAAATGTAGGGGACTAGATTCTGGTTTTGCATTATTGTACTTTGATATTAATAATTCTTAGAAAAACTTTCAAATAATTACAGCCAACTTGATCACACATAAAATTCCTCTTATAAGATTCATATTTTATAAACCTTTTACAACTTTCTCAGACCTTTTATAACTTGCTCGAATCTTCTACACCTTGTTCAAACATTCTATGACTTGCTTAAGACATCAGTTTTGCCCTGTGCTTTTTAAAAATTAGAAAAACCAACCACTCTACCTTGGACAAAAATGTATTTTATCTTTTTCCTTATTATAGAGACTACTCAAAATTCTTTCTCAGACAAAAGTCACCCCCTTTTTTCTTTTAGCTTTCCTGAACAGAAATACATTTTCATACTTACAACTTTCTTTGCATCTGTCTCCTACTTATTGGCTCCTTTTAGCCTTGTTTTTAATTTATTCTTAAATTCATATTCTAAGATAACCTTTAAATAACCTCTAACTGTAGACAAAACCATTCCTTTTAAATAGAAAACATATTTTAATGTCATAAATATTTGTCACATGTATATATATTTTCATGTCATATATACACATTTATATGTCATATATATTCTCATGTCATATATACATATTTGTATATGTGTGTGTATATATTTGTATATGTATGTGTGTATGTATATATATACATACACACATACCACATACATACACACATATTTTTTAGCCAATAGCACATTTTACTTTTCTGGTACACTTTGTATATATAATTATATATATTAATTACAAATTGTAACTGTCAGTATATTTAATTTCCAGCAAAAACATAAGTAAGCAAATTGTAACCTGTCACATTTCAACATTTTATGAAAACATATTTTATAATTTCTAAAAATATGTGCTTCTCACAGAATAAATTTTCAATGGGGAATAGAAGATATTTACCAACAGACCAAAGTGTTTTCCATTTTTTTAATAAAATTTAAGAATCCAAAAGTAAATAAACTTGAATCTATGTTCAGCAATCAGCATTTTAGTATTTTAACTTACTTGGAAATGACCTAGGCACTCTATAAATATGTATTATTTAATTTAGAATAACATAAATTTAAGATATCAAATTACATAAAAAATTGAATAAGAAGTTCATTTATAAATATCTATTCCATTTACACCTATTAAGTTATTTTTTAACAATTATTCATAAATTATTTATGAAAACTGAGATACTAGGCAAAGCTAGTCATCATTTTAAATTATTGTTCTCTTAACCATTTTTATAGCTTGTGAATATCAGATGTTAATGATCCAAGTAAGGATAAAGTAAAATATATGAGCATTTTTGCAATAACTCAGAAGATACAGCTGTTTACATGAAACCAACAATATTATATTAGTCTAATTTATCAGAAGTTACACAAAGATAATTTTGCTCTTAGGCTGAATGTACAGATTTATGACCTTAAATTCTCTAGGAGAGACATATATAACCTTGTCTGATCAGCAAACCCAGACAAAACATGTGTGCTCACAACTCTGAAGACACCTTCATCTTTATTTTTACCAACAAATGTAAAAACAGTTTATTTACCAAAGATTTACTTGAGTCATGTGAACTAAAAGACATCTGGCTTACTGTATATTTTTAAAGTTTTAAGTATAATTAGCCTAAGTCCTCATTTATCACTGAGCCAATTTGAATAGAATTCTTTAAGAGATTTTACCATTGCAGACAGAAAATACATGTATAAAAACACATAAACATGTATATACACAAAGATCTTATACCTTTCATTTTAGAATTTTTGTGATGAGACAGTAAAATACAGTAATATAAACTCACTCTAATTTATAAAAGACAGTTTGATCCAAATTATATTTCCAACAAAATGGCACAAGTTAACGTCACCTGTTCATGTGGCTAAACCTCAAGATTTTTATTTGTCCTGTTAGGTAATCTTATAAAGGCCGTGGACCTAATTTGAAGTAAAGCGGTTTTCATAGCAGTTTAAAATAACCCTCTTTACTCTTTTTGGCTGTTCGGTCTCAAATGAGTCTTAAATGTTATATTTCAGTTAAAACTGCCTGGAAAATAAACCTCTAAGTTGCCATGAATTTAGTCACAGATTTGTCTTAATACAAGCAAAAAAGTCAGCAGATTCAGAGGAAATTTAAAAAATGAGAAATAGAGATATTGCTGCACCATTCAGACTGTTTAACCCTATAGTTGCATTTTTTTGTTTTTGTTTGTTTTTCATTAATGCTAAGGGAAATAAGCTTGGGGAGCTCAAATGGTGCCCATAATGGCCATAAATTATCTTTAGTGTAACCTGTCCATTGGTTTAAAAATGTGTGTGAAGAAAAGCTATACATTTTGTATGTATATTAAGCTGAGGTTTCTGAAAGAAGCTTGTCCTTAGACAACTTAGCATGCCTTAGAATTTGAAGATTCCATTCTGTTTCTCATTAATCTTTCAAGAACAAAAACATCCTATAATTTATATCTAGATTTTCAGGGTTTGGGCAAAGCGTTTTGCTTTGACAAGTGTACCTGACACAGGACTTTTTTTTTTTTTTTAATCGTAAGTAACCTTTGCTCTAGTTGTTTGACCTGTGACCAGGTTTTTCCTATTTGCACTGCATTTTTCTGGAGACTGGCAAGTGCCCTAGTAGTAACTTTGCCTGTCCATACCCAATGTTTTCCAACACAGAATAGTTTACCCTCAAAAACAGAAGTTCCTCATAGATGGTGGTGATCACTCTAGTGGCCATCCCATATTCACCATTTAAAAAATAATTTTGCTCTAGAAAGATGTTCAGAAACAAGCAAGGAAAAAAATGTAAGAGCCAAATTATTTCTAGATGCACATAAGCAAACCAAAATGATACCCCAAAAAAGAGTACTCACAAAAATTTTAAACCAGGCATGTAGAGCAAACAAAATATTAAACCAGGTGCATAGAAAAAAAAGCAAATGTGAATTTATCAGAGAACACAGGAGGTCATCATAGACAGAACAAAAACTCTGCAAAAACCAGAGTATTATCCAGAAGATCAGTGTCCTTATACCAGAAAGGGCTTGCCAGAAAAGACAAAAAGTCTTTTGTGGTCCAAGAGGGATGCAGTGTCCTTTGTTAAGGCAGCTTTTATCCCAACCAGATCCCGAATAAAGTCAAAAGAACTCACCATAAGGAGGGAGTTCAGCCTGAGAGAAGACTACTCACCAGGTAAGAAAAGATGAGACATGGAAACCAAGAGCTCAGAAAGGTTCTAGTGGGTAATGCATGTAATTGCAGGAGTCACCCATCCTTTCAAGGTGAGCTCACTTTAGGTCACATTTCTTGACACCAATTTATGTCAACTTAAAATGACAACAGAGAGAGTATTCAAAGGTAATGAGCTTCTCTGGGAGTCAGTACTGCAATGGGAAATACAGTGCCGTAATAAACTATAAGCATATTTAAGGAGGAAGGGGAAGACAAAGGTTTTTTTTTGTTTTTGTTTTTGTTTTCTTTTTCTTTTCTTTTCTTTTCTTTTTTTTTTTGGTTGAGGCGGAGTTTTGCTCTTGTTGCCCAGGCTGGAGTGCGGTGGCGCGATCTTGGCTCACTGCAACCTCCGCCTCCCGGGTTCAAGCAATTCTCCTGTCTCAGCCTCCTGAGTAGCTGGGATTACAGGCGCACACCACCACGCCTGGCTAATTTTTGTATTTTTAGTAGAGATGGGGTTTCACCATGTTGATCAGGCTGGTCTCGAACTCCTGACCTGGTGATCCTCCTGCCTCAGCCTCCCAAGACACAAGTTTTTAAAGGTAAAATGAAGAGGGTTACATAAGTTATTTTTAAGCAATTATCCTTAGCTACCAGAATCAATAACAAGGATGGTATCAGTCCAAGATTAAACGGGTAGTTGCTGGGCGGATGTCATTGTAGAAGTATAACATGTGTAATGTACTCTGGCCTCTGTGCAAGGTTGCGATTTTGGCAGTCTTTTTTTTTTGGAAGCAGAGCCTTGCTCCGTCGCTCAGGCTGGAGTGCAGTGGCGCGATCTCGGCTCACTGCAACTCCGCCTCCTGTTGGCAGAGTCTTTTGTTATCAGGAAATTACGCGTGAGAACTCTCTCTTCATGGCGTTCCCTGACTCCATTTTGTCAGAGCTTGATACAATCAGCTTCATTTTGATTTTGACAAGTTTCCCATTTTAATGACAAGAATTTTTTTTTTTTTTTTACCGATAACTATTCTTTTCTTATTTGCTGTACTCAACAAATGTACATTACCCGTACATTAAATAATTGCACCCTACTAAGATTATAGCTAGAATTTTAACAAGCATTTCCAATCTTCTGAAAGGCCTCTCAACAGGACATTTAGTACCTGAGAGAACATTCTAAGACCCAAGTTCTGTCCTGGAAGCTTGTTGTCTAAGGAATTTGCTCATGGTGCCACATAATACAAAAGGCTACATGTATGGATAACTTTCTTAGAAAATTGATTTTTACGTAACTCACAGTCATGGACATCAGTAATAACAAATCTGGAGTTCCATGTGGTAATACATTCTATCCCAGGAGTAAGTTATATCTGAGATGGCACTGGAAAAAGATAGTTGCTTGGTAACTGTTCTTATGGGTTGAATTTCACCTCCCAAAAGATATGTCACAATTTTAACCCCGGCATCTGTGCATGTGGCCTTCTTTGGACATAGGGTGTTTGTAGATGTGATTAATTTGAGCTCATACTGGAGTATGGGCCCTTAAAAAATAAGACAGCGGTCCCTATAAGACGAAGTGAGAGACAAGCACAGGGAGAACGGGTGGCCACCAAAGCAAACACTGAGGTGATGTAACTTCAAGTCAAAGAGCAGGGATTGACTACCAACAATGGAAGCAAGTGAGAGACAAAGATGGGTTCTACCCAGAGTCCCAAAGGAACTATGTCCTGCATAGTTCCTACATCTTGATTTCAGACTTCTAGCCTCCAAAACTGGGATAGAAAAAAATGTCTGTTGTTTGATACAATCCAGTTTATGCTACTTTGTTAAAGCAGCCCTAGGAAAGTAGTAAAATAAAAAACTAATGTCCAGCCAGTATCCACTGATGAGATCATAGTCATATTTTAGAACCGATTTCATTCAGACTGACTGTAGCTTACATTGGTTGATGCTCAAGCTATACTTGTTATAAGTTTTTTGAAGATATCTCATTTTGTGAACATGGGATCAGAATAAGAAAATGAAATTGTTGAAAAGTGTGATCATGCATAAATATGGAAGTCTACAACTAAGAATCCTCCTTCTTAGCACATGAAGGGCAATGCTGAATTTTTCTGTTAAGACTTTACTTTTTAATATTTTAAATTTATCATATTTTGCCTCTACTTACTAATAACTTATTTCTCTACTATCATTTAATTGGATTTCTCTACTATCAGATAAACGCTTTGCTCTGGCCTATTTAATAAAGATTCTACAGTTAAGTCTCAAGAGGTTAGTTTTATTTCCCTCATTGCCCTTGTGGGTGTCTCATCAGTAAAAGTAAAACAAGATACTATGTTAAGTGTGAAATCAACACAAACATGAAGATGTAGTGCTTTGCCTTTAAGAAATTTAGATTCTTCACCAGTAAGCTTGATCTTGGTTCTAGCTTCTATAGGGCCAGTCTGAGATGGACACAGTTGGTGGTGAAGGGGCTTGGTTTTGGAGTTTAAGAAACAATAGAGAGGGCTTAGAAGGCCACCAGATACCACTCACAGACATTCATTCTAAACTTAGGACAATTCATTGTTTGGGTTTTTCTTCAGACAACAGGCAAGTAACTAAGGTCTAGGGTAACTTACCTAAGGTTTTATTAATCTTGAACAACCAAATTCCATGAAGTTCAAAGTTTTATTACTGCTGTTTTACAGAATGTTAGGGATTGGCCATGATGTATAGTCCCTACCCTTTGGAGATTAAAATAAAAGAGTAACGTAGTGACAGACTTTGAAAGTGAAGGATGTATAAAATGAGCACATAAACCAATCTGAGGATGTCTACAAAGCCACTGGATGAATGTAATATCTGAATTAAGCCTCAGAAGATATGTGAGAGTGAGGTAGTCAAAAAAAATAGGGGAGGCATTTTAGACATACAAGCGGGAGTGTACTAAGTGACAACAAGATCATGGAGGATTTGCATGGCAATCTGGGAAGGTGGTTTTATCCTGTGGGTGTCCGGAAGCAATTAATGCATTTAAGGAGAGCAACAGCACATTTTCATTTCCATTTCAAATGAAACATTTGACTGGTGTTGACAAAAACAGATTTAAAGACCAACAGCCTACAGGCATTAGGAAAAGTGAAGGAGCTATTGTGGTGACTCAGGAAAGATACTATAAACTGCTGAATTAGGACAGTAGTAAATGAGAAGGAAAAGATGATTTTTGAAAAGTGAAATTTTTGCTTTCTAAAAATCATATGTGACACATACATGTGAGTAAACTCAATGCATACATTTTTGTGCATTCATTTATATATATACACACGTAATCTTTTTCTCAATACACAAAGGTAAATATTAACTCTAATGATTTTTGAATGATAAAAATAGTAAAAAAATTAAATGTGTACTCATAGAATTAATGACTATATAGCTTCCGAAAAGAATGAGTTAAATATAATAGATACATAGACATGTCACAAAATGTTATTTTTAATATATAAAATTTTTTAAGCGTTAAAAATATTTTAATTTTATATTTTATAATTTTATATAATTTATAAGATAGTTTTATCAGAAATTTAGTTTTATAAAATTTAGTAGTAATTACTATTTATAAATGTGTACAAAATAAAAATGTGCTTAAAACTTTATGTTCATCTTTGACATATAGTCCTTATAGGATTATAGTTATATTTTCTTTTTAGGTAATCTATTTCTGCTTTATATGAGTTTTTTTCAAGTTGCTGGTTTTAATGTTATCTTTTAGAAAATTTAGGATATGTAGAAAAAATAAATACTTACAGACTACAATTTTGTAGGACTCTCAATTAATTAGCTTAGGGAATAATGAAGAAGGAAGAGTCAGGATTTTGTCTTTCTTTCTTTCTCTTGTTTTAGTCCAAGGTAGCTTTTAGTGCCACAATTTGAACAAGCAAAAAAATATAATTTTGCTTGATTTTTAGAGAAGAGAGAAATGGTGATTTTTTTTTTTTTTTTTTTTGCATTTAATACTTGATGTATCTCTAGCATATGCAGGGGAAGATTTCTGATGGTTGAAAGAACTGAAGCTATGAACAAGGGATTAATTGCCTGAAAATAGTAGTCAATAATTATAATTTAAAATAATTCGTAACATGAATAGTTATGGTGATTCTGAAGTAGATGAATTCACTCATGGAGAAGATAATGCTGAAAGAAAAAAGACAGACCCTGGAAAAACTTTTCAGCTATAAATCATAGAAGTTAGAACCAAAGACTGCATGGAGATCTTCCAAATTAACAACTTCCTCATTTCCCAAAAATAAAATCTAAAATCCAGATGAAATATTTCATTCAAACTCATCTAATTAATGGTTAATTAGAGGCAGGACAAAGATTATAAATGAGTACAATTCTGCAGATTTTCAGTTAATTTGTTTCTCTTTCTCTATCCTTCCAGAAGAGCTTGATTAACAATTTTACGGCATTTTACCCCTTAAAAAACTCTTCCATATACGCAATCACCTTTGAACTCCACAACACATGGTAGGTATGAAGGGCAGATGGTGAGTTCAACTTTATAGCCAATATAAAGTGAAATAGCTTTTACAAAGTTGAGTGTTTAGTAAAGCACAGAGCCAGAATTTGAATCAAGGTTTTCCAAAGCCAATTTGGGTACTTTTTCAGCATCACCAACAACATCTGAAAAGTAAGCTTTTATATCACTTGACTCACATGTTTCATCTCAGTGTTTGAAAGTGGAAAAGACCGGAATTTTTCTACTATGTATGTGCTTATTTGAGTGCATTCTGGAGATAATAGCTTTTCTTCTACTTGAAATATATGAATATAACATAGTTTTTAACCATAAAATAACTAGAGTCAATAAAATGTTAATCATTTTTAAAAGAAAGTTAATAATATATGAAAATTTATTTATATAATTGTACTTATAAAATAAATATTGTGTATATAATTGTATTTATAAAATAAATATAAGTATAAATGGATTTATAAAATAAATATTGCAAAAAGTTGCAATATTTAGTTTTCACAATTAGAAATTCTATAATTGATGACATGATAAAAAAAGTGCTTTTATGAATGCACATTTAATTCTTTAATCTTCTCCCTTTTTATTTTTATCCCATTTTGAATTTGCCCTTGTGAGGTTTGGCTAGTATCTTACCTATACTCAAGAGCCTGAAACTTTAAGTTCTGCATATTAAGGAGTTGGTTTTAGTCATTAATAAGTTGATATCATTAACCAATTTTGTGTGATACATATGATGCCACAGCTCCTCGTCATTTTCAAGGGATTAGTTTCTTAAAAGTCAATTTTTTGGCCCTTCTTTTTTTCATTAAACTTTCTAACTGCTGTGCAGCGACACAACAGGGTCTTTGTCAGCTGCTTAGAGGAGCTATTTGTTAATTGTTTTGCTTCAAGGACTGCCTCCTTTGTTGATGTTCTTCCACAGATCCAAAAAGTAGTTCAGCAAAGAAGAAAACTTTAAAAAATATGTAATTTTTATTCATTGGGTATTTTTTAACAAAGAGGAAACATTTTCTAGTTGTGTTATTTAAAAACTTATTTTAATTAGTTGAGAAGTGAAGGTTAATCCATTATGGCTTTTCATTGGCAACAGAAAGAAAAAGGCACTTAACAAACACAAACATTATAAGAATAGAAATGAGTAGGCAGCTAGAATTGGTGAAATGGTAGCATTAGATATGAGGCAAAACATAATATGAAATTTGCTATTGCAAAGGCAAGATACAGAGAATTTCCATTGTGATTTCAGATAATATAAAGTGAGAAATGGGCTGCCATTTAACAGAAACCTAAAACTCGGAGGGATTTTAGATAGCATCTAAACCCATCTATCCCTTTCATAGGTGAGAAAATTGCAGCCCAGGGAAATGAAGTGATTGCCCAGCTTCTAGAGCAAATGCCAATAGAGAACAGGGAGTAAATATATTATACAACTGTGGCTTGCCACCTGGCACTCGCTACAAAGAACATTGCCTTCGCTTCCCCTATAGATTTTCATTTGTTCAGAAATGAGCCGTTTCCCTCCAGCAATGCTATCTGGAGAGAGTTGTGAATTAAAGACTGATTTTAGAGACTTTTCAACTAATTACTATGTATATAAGAATGAAATAGGTAAATTTATTTTAATAAATGTATTGTATTCAATTTCTTATAGTTTACAGGTCCCTGATGAATCGAGTCCTTCCTATAATACACAATTTAGACTGTACCATTTGACTTTTCCTTATCATATTTTTTCCTTTAACTTTCTGCATCTCTGAATAAATAGATAAATTAATAAAATATTAATATAAAATAAATTTTAAAGGATTCTCTGTAAGTAGCAGTCAGTAGACTATGTTCTGTGAACAAAATCCAGTCTATTGCCTGTTTGTTTTTAAACATATTTACTGTGTGGCCATTTACAGAATAAAAGTTTTCTGCTCTAAATCGACATGTAAGAACTATTTGCTAATAAATAAGGCAAGCATGTTAGTGAAATTGAATGAGACAGAATAGTCCCAGATACATATGATAATTCAGCTACTACAAAAATAAAAGTTTAAGATGAGAGAAAGTGGGTGGTCTAGAGTGTTTTTCATTGGATAACAGTTGTATTTAAAAATGCTTATTTTAGTAGTATCTTCTTTCATAATTTAATTTTATTTCCAAATTGGTTCATTAGATGATACAGAAGCGTTAAAACGACTTATGTGTTCCAATATGTTGAAAGATGCTAGGAAAAACACTTTTAGAATAAGAAGAAACGTTTCCTAACAAAATAAAACAGTTTATTGAAAACATAATTAACCTTGAATCTCTGCATTCTTTGAGTATACGACAAACATTTGTGCTTTGTGAAAATGTTTCTTTTTATATTCAATGCTGAAAGTTTTTTGCTTCCCTTAGGGCATTGCTGCAATAATGGATAGTAAGTATAGGATGTCTTCCTTATGTTTCTATGTTGGTGTCAGCGTTCACTGCAAGAAGTGTCCACCATATGTGGGACAGTAACAAATATCATATAAGAATTCCTTTTTTTTTTTTTTTTTTGAGTTGGAGTTTCACTCTTGTTGCTCAGACTGGAGTGCAATGGCGCGATCTCGGCTCATGGCAACCTCTGCCTCGGGCTCCTACCTTAGCTTCCCGAGTAGCTGGGATTACAGGCATGCGCCACTACGCCCGACTAATTTTTTGTATTTTTAGCAGAGACGGAGTTTCTCCATGTTGGTCAGGCTGGTCTCAAACTCCTGACCTCAGGTGATCCACCCACCTTGGCCTCCCGAAGTGCTGGGTTCACAGGCGTAAGCCACCGCACCCGGCCAAGAATTTCAAACTCTTTGATGTCTGTATATGAAATGTCAATTAAATCAACAGATACTTTGTCTGAAGCAGATATTTTATGATACATTTTTAGAGAATTAAATATACTGAGTGACGATCAGATGCAGTAAATATTTGTTTGACATTTGTCTAATTTTATTCAACTCACAGAATCAAAATATTCATGTATAAGGTCTTATGATTTAAAAAATTGTTTATTATAGGTGAAGAAACATAGAACTATTTTGGAAATAATCTCCATTTTCTGTTAGCCAGTTAACTTAATGTTGCATCCTAAAATTTAAGAAAAAAGTCTTCCATATATACGGAAGGAAAATACAATGGAGAATTCAGTTAGTATTCTTACACATAGATGGCAATAGAATATACAAATATCGGACAATGTTTTTGATTGACATCTTCTGGAGCCTCAGGATTTCTGGAAATTTTATATGGAGTTAAACAAGAGCAATTTCTCAGGTTCATTTGCAACTACTGCAATAAGACCTCATCCTTATGCAAGTCTGTTTTACATTAGATTCTGCATAAAATTTTATTGGAAAGAAATCAAGGCTTTACTACCAATACATATGTGAATGCCGCTGCTATAGGTTAATGACCAAGACCATTCAATAAAGGAAATGGTAGTAACATCAGAGGTCACTGTTGGGTGGTCCCCTGACTTTTTCATCATAAGCAAATCTTTACTAAAAAGTTATATTGAACAGTATGAGAGATTAAGGTTTAGCCAAGATCTCAGTGACCCAGTCTGTTTAATAGTAATGTAATGAGTGAGGAACTATATTCATACTTCAGTGTAAATGCAATAATAATAATCACGAGGCCTTTATTAAAAAGACAAAAATAAAATTAGAGATCTTTGACATATTTGATGAGTTATAAATCATATTATATATCCAACCTTTTCATTTTGTAGATAAAGATATTGTAATCTAAAGAATTTTCCTTATTACCAGCAGAACCAGGATGAGACTAAAAGCCCATGACCACCTTTTATATGGTTTATACTAGAAAGCAGATTAGTTTAAGACTCCAGAAATCTAGCTTTGATGTGTAATACCTCTCTAACCTTGAGCAACATAATTAAATTCTCTGAGTGACAATTTAATTTATCTGTATCATGGGTAATTCCTGATTATGTAATAATGTTTTTGTAAGGGTGGCATGAAATGTCCTATGAGTGATGTCACAGGTAAATATGAGTTACTCATATTAGTATAAGTTTAAACAACATGGAGTTGCCAATATGTTACTTTTTAAGCCTAGAAATACAACAATTTCGTATAGTTTGACGATTATCATTAATACAATTATACCACAAATTAACACTATGATAAGGTTTTATTTTCATCCTATATGCAGAAATTTTATTTACTTACATGCTTCTTTTCAGGATTCACCGTTATTTCTGATCCTAGTCAAGCTTTTATTTTCATCTTCATTTATATGTATATAAATACATATATACATACAAATAATCATCTCACAGCATCCCCTTCCTTACTCCTACTTACCTTACCTCAAAAGCAACCATTTTAATACATTAGATATATTTTCTTTTATTAGTATATATCTCCGAAGGTTTAAAACAGCCATTATTCTATTGTAATGCTTTGCAAAATATTAAATTTATAATTTAACTCATTAGAATACAATGTACTTGAGATTACATTTTATTCTTGAAGAAAAAAATGACATTTTGCTTCTCTAAAGTGTTTAGTAGGCATAGCAAGAGAATAGAATTAATCATATGAACTGGACTGGACATAACTATCACCAAACTGAGACTACAGCTGACATCCTTTAACACATTGCTTCAATTCTGCTTGACCTACTGGCAGGCTGTAGATTCTAAACATTTTCCTGTTTCATCGTTTTTTGATTCAAATACTGAGATCAACACACGTGATAATGTGAGGACGCACACACGATAATGTGAGGACGCACACACTCTCACGAACAAACACACAAACACAGAGGAAAAAAAGTAGAGAAAGGCTAAGACACAGAAATGAACAACTGGCCTACTTTTTTTTTAGACTGAAATATCTAGGTAACAGAATGAGCTGACTGGTAATGAGAATTTTCCAATCCCAAGATTAATCATTGTCAGGACATCAGGTTCACTTTGAAAACTCCTGGAAACATTCAGGGCTTATCAAAATCAAAGCAAATAAAAATAACATCCTAAACAGATATAAATAGAAGTGGGTCAAAATTTTTCCATTTTAATTTTAAGCCACAAATGAAAACAATTTAGTCTGTATTCTTTTTTAAACAATATGAAATATAAAATATTCTAAAAAGCTATGATTGTTTATTTTCAGTAGAGTGTGGTGGAAACAATTTCCAGACTTAGCTTTGAATCTCAGATCAGCCATTTACTTGTTTAAAAAAAAAACTTTCTGTACATCATTTTCTATATACTTAACTATAAAATTATAATCTTATGAGAATATTCAACTGAACTATTTTAAAAGTGAATAACAGGTTTTATGATTTTGAGCAGGAAAAATTGATGGTGATGTTGGGAAGAATGAGAAAGTTCCTCAGCAACTTATAATATTGTCCTTTTTATGGCCCGTTTGAAATCAATGGAAATACAGTATTGGGGTGAAGGAGCTTGAACCATTGAATTTCTTCTGATTATAAAAAAGTAAACAAAAAATATATGAGAAAGAAAATGATATTCATGAATATATAATTTGTGAATACTTTGCCTGTGACAAGGAAAAGTGTGAGACTTTTAGTTTCCAAGTGTTTGTATACTTTTTTAATTTTTATTTTTTTGTGGGGACATAGGTGTACGTTTACATAGTAGATGTATTTTTACATATACTTATAGGGTACATGAGATGTTTTAATACAGGCATACAATGTGTAATAATCATATGATGGAGAATGGGGTATCCATTCTCAAACATTTATCCTTTTTGTTACAAACAATCCAATTATATACTTTTTGTCAATCTAAAATGTACAATTAAATTGTTATTGACGATAGTCACCTCTGTTGTGGTATCAAATAGGTCTTATTTATTCTTTCTAACTGTTTTTTGTATCTATTATCCATCCCCACCTTCCTCCCAATCACCCTTGAAGAAGTACTAAGATTCTACTGGGATGATTGCCGATTGATGAGTTAATATTGGAAAACTCAAGATAGTATGTGATAAATTAAACTTGTATTTATTACAACCCATATTTCATTGAATTTGCCTCTTCTTAGTCTTTGTTACATCAAGAGAGAAGTGTGGCAAGTTTAAATATTCCAACAAATCTTTTACCCGACTAGGATTAAACTTCACTGATTCTACCAGTATTTCACTGTCCTTCATTCCCACTTATACATTCTTTTTCTTCTTATCGCAGTTAAATTCTCTGGTCAGGGTTTATAATTACCCCCCACTCCCCCACCCCTTTATTCTTCCTCAATGCCCCTCAGCTTGTTTGTGTGGTGAAGTCATGACTTGGACTTAACCTAATTCTCTATCTAGGCTATACTTGCTGACAGTGGCTGGAGGAAAAAAAAAAATCACAGGACTGCTGACAAGTCTTAATTTAAATTCTTATAAATGAACCTCATATTGTCTCTGAGTACAGAGCAGCAGTTATACTCTATTTCATGTGCTTTCTCATTGTCCTAGGCCATTATTTATAACCCTTTTCTCCAATTCTCAGTCTCAGTTAACGACTGTAAGTATTTCACTGAGAATGCAAATATATCCCATATTAACTCTTAACAATATATACTTTGCATTCTCTCCTACTGCTACAGATGGTCTGCCCTCATACTTCAGGCTGATCCCTAACCCACACAGACACATGCAACTCTGCATTATATCCCATCTCTTCTAGCGTACATATAGACAGCAGCACTTCTCTCTGTATTGTATCATCTATTTTTTCTCTCTACTAGATAATTCCACTAGCATAAATATAGGCTGTAATTCCTTCCATCTTAGAAAACCTTCTCATGTCCCACTCATCTCACTAACTACTACATTGGTTCCTTATTCCACTGCCAGAGCAACACCGTGAAAGAATTTTCTGTTACCCATTCCCTTTGACATACCCCATCTCTATTTCTGAATTCTACCTCAGTCAGATTTTTACCTCCATTTTATTTTTCCAGAAACAGGATCTTGCTCTGTCTACCAGGCTGGAGTGCAGTGGCACAATCGTAACTCACTGGAGCCTCTGACCCCAGGGCTCAAGCCATTCTCCTGCGTTAGACTTCCAAGTACGTGGGACCATAGGCATGTGTCACCTCACCCAGATAATTTTTCATTGTTTATTTTCTCATTTTTTAATTTTTTTTATTTTTTAGAGATAATGTCTTTCTCTGTCACCCAGACAGGAATGTTCTGCTGCGATTGGGGCTCACTCAGGCATTGGGGTTGATGCTGCAGTGAGCCCTGATTGCACCACTACATTCCCACCTGGGTGACAGAGCAAGCCCTGCTTGCTGCAGGCAAGCAATCCTCCCACCCCAGTCTCCTCAGTGGCTGGGACTACAGCCAGCCACCACCACACTCAGCTAATTTTTTAAATGTTTTGTAGAGATGGGGTCTTACTATGTTGCCCAAGATGGTCTTGATCTCCTGGACTCAAGTGATCCTCTTACCTTGGCCTTCCAAAGTGCTGGACTTAGAAACATGAGCCACAGACACTAGCCTAATTTTTAATTTTTATGTTTTTTTTTTTTTTGTAGAGACTTGCTATGATGTCCAGGTTGGCCTCAAACTCCTGGCTACAAGTGACCCTCCCACCTCTGCCTCCCAAAACACTGGGATTATGGATGTGAGCCACTGCTCCTGGCCTTACTTTTATTTTTTTTTTAATTAATGATACTGCTTCTGTCAAGGTCATTAATGACATCCATATTGTGAAATTCCTTTGTCAATTCTTAATCCACTATATACTTAGCATTTCACAACCACTTGTACCTGGTAATCATTCTTCCTCTTTGAACAATTTTCTTCCTTTACCTTTGTGGACACTAATTTGTGTTGATTTCTTCCTACTTCATTGTTTCTTCATTTTCTCCTTACTCCTTTGTTGTTTCTTCATCATTGTCCTGACATTTATTTTTATATTGCTATCTTTTTTTAAAATTTGTGGTGAGAACACATGAGATCTATCTAGTCTCTTAGCAAATTTCAACTATAGAGTACATTATTATTAACTATGGTCAGCATGCTGTCCATTAGGTCGACAGAGCTTGGCTTTCCATCTCTGTGACTGAAACTCTCTTCCCCCAAATAGCTGCAAGGCTTCCTCTCCTGCTGCTTTAAATGGTTCTTCTAGTGAGGTCAACTCTGACCATGTTATTAAAAATTGACACCCTTAGTTAGGCTTACTTATATCCTTACCCTGCTATATTTTTCATAGATATGTTTACCTGATAAAATACTGTATATATGATTCATTGATTTATCGAAGACGTTTATTACCATTATTTTACTACCAGATGGTAAGCTTGTGAAGACATGGATTTCCTTGTTCATTTGTTCTGTTTACCTCTACACTCTTCATACATAGGAGCAGGTACTCTGAAATAGTTGTTGACTGAATGAATAAAAGAATGAGATCAGTTACTTCCTAAAATTAAGTAATAAAACATATATGGCAATACATAACTTTTGGGCCCAGTGACTGGTATATACTGGTATATATAAATATATATATATTTTTGTATATATATATATATTTATATATACATAAATATATATATGTAACAAATGTCGTCACTTTCCCTATTTTTTCATTAAATTTCCAAAATCACAAGGCCCATAGAAAGTTAGAACATGGGGAAATTTTAAAAAATTGCTATCTGTCTAATAGTAGCTAAGTTATACAACAAAATCATCCACAATCTAAGTTTAATTATGTTTCTTCTTCCTCATACATGTAGGATATCCAGCTATTTTGCCCCCTTCCACCAGCACCAATATCTTTTGCTTACTAAAGGAGGTGAGTTATATTTAACTATTACATATTTTAAAAAATTGGCCAGCTGATTGCTTTGGTTGCAATTTTAATAAATTTGTCAAGTACTTTAAATTGGCATTGTTAGGGGCACATTTTTCATAGCTACAAATGAACTGTACCACTTGTTTTCTACAGTAAGTGACTTTGGGCATAAAAAGAAGACTGAAACAATACTAAATCATATGCATATATTAACTGAAATTTTAGGGAGGAATTTTTATGAATAACAAGGGACAGAATATATGAAAAATTAAGATACAATATCTGTCAAAAGGTACATCCACACTTATTAAGGGTCATAAAATGCAGTATGTTTTAATCTCTATGGAGGAAAGGAACACTGTAATGCCTTCTGTAATTATTTTACTGCAGGTAAACAATAATTTCTTAGTTCTCTTGGTTGGCTATAGCAGAATACCATTAACTAGGTAGCTTATAAACAAGGGAAATTTATTTCTGACAGTTGCAGAGGCTGGGAAGTCCAAAACCATGGCACCAGCAGATTTGGTGTCTAGTAAGGGCCTGTCCCGTGGTTGATAGATGAAGTCTCCTAGCTGTATCCTTACATGGTGAAAGGAGCCAGGCAGTTCTCTGGATCCTCCCTTATAAGGGCACTAATCTCATTGAGGAGTGCTGTGCTCTTATGACCAATTCAGTTTCCACAGGCCCCATCTCCAACTTCATCACATTGGTAACTAGATTTGAACATGCAGATTTTGGGGAGACACATTCAGATCAGAGCAATTTCAATGTGTGTGTGGTCAATAATTATTGATATAGTTTCCTACCTAATTTAAATTATTTAAAATTTTCCAATTGTAGAATTTTAATACTCTTATTTTTGTAAGTTGGATTCCTGTTCTTAAAATGTCATTCAGTGACTTCCAGTGGTTCCTAAAATCAGTTTAAAATGGAAGTTCTAGCCAGAACCATAATCAAAATATTAAAAACTTAAAATAAATATTTGGAGAAAATAATTTATAAAACAATGTTCTACTCACACCCAAAAGAAGCCCAGTCTTTTATTTTGTGTTCTCTTTGCTGGCTCCAAGAAAATAAAACTGGCCTCAATTTTAAAAATGTTTTTATAACTAGGTGTTATTTAAATTTTATTTAATTGTCAAAATTTATTGTTTATTTAGTTCCAAAATAGTAGTACAAATATAAAAATCATGATGAGGAGCTACACAGACGTATAATCAATGTCTTCAGTTTTAAATATATTGAATCTTAAATAATAAAGATGTGATGCATATAAATTTGGGGCCTTAGTGCTGCATTTTAAGCAAATGTATTAGTGTTTGATTTGCCACTGTATCTGTTAAGGGCTAAACAAGTATTAATTGAATGAGAAAATTGGTAGTGACGCTAAGAGGAAGGTTAAGAATTTAATTTTCAAGACCCCTTCCCCTATTGTTTTTAAGGCAAACAATTCCTATAATTTGAATTTCAAAAGGTTTAGAAAATCTCCATTCCTGCCTATTTGATAGCCAATTCACATCCCAGAAGGCAAACAACGTAATAGTTTCTTGTGTATCCTTTGTAGAACTATACATATTTAAGCAAATATCCATTTACACACACACACACAGTAATTTATTTAAAAATTCTTAATCTTTTCTACATTTTTACAAGAAAATAATACAGTAAACAATTTTATGCATTTTTCATGTGAGAAAATATATATACATGTGTGTATGTATGTGTATATATATATGTGTGTGTGTGTTTGTGTGTGTGGGTATGTCTATATAAATTTATTTAGACATGAAATTGCTAGGTCCAAGAGAATGGCACTTATAATTTTATAATGTTGATAAAGATTTCTAAAAACTTGCCATAGAATATTTACTATATTCTATCAGCAGGGTATGAGAATGCTGGTTTATTCATAGCATTATTTGGGGAGCTTTAATAATAATTGTAACACTGCATACAATAAAATAAAATAGTCTATGTAAGTAGATTTGAGTAGATTACAGGGCTAGAAATATAAGGTAAAAGAGGAGTCAAAGGAAAAGATTTTGCTTCCCTGCCCCGAAAAATGGTAAACTCTTTGAAGTCAGGGATATGATTACACTTCAGAAGACATAGCAGTACACGACTAATTCTACATAAAAACAATGAATTTTAAACCAGATTATGGCATCATGTATATGTTGAGAGGTTAGGAAAATGCCAGAGTTACAGATACATGTTGACAACTTAATTACAGTCACCCTTATAATCTGACAGTGGCTCTTGACAGCACACACTAAGGAGAGCAGAGAATTGCTGGTGAACTCAAGTCCCTGCAGTACCTAAAAAATTCATAGAAACTGTTAGAGCAGACCATCTGTAAGTATTAGAGGAGTCCCTCCAAACTAAATTGATTGAACAGATGTAATGACAAACAACAAATTATCTGTGATCAGTGATCCCACTTAAAAGATTTTGAAAAGTACAGCTTCTTAACTTTATCAATTACATAAACCAGGAAACTTTTGAGATGGCATGTGTGTGTGTGTGTGTGTGTGTGTGTGTGTGTGTAATATTATTTTCTTTTTTGTCTAATATTATTTTCATAGTGGCATTTTATGCATGTAAGTTCGCCAGAAATTTTCAAAAGAAGGAAAGAACTTTAATTTGCTACATTTAACTATGTATGAGGTCACTGTCCTGTTGCAGAACTGTTGTTTTGCTTAAGGGAAAACCCATTGTAGTGAGACATAATGTAACACCCACGTAGACAGTTAAGTAATTTGTAAAACACATGAGATGATGAAAGGACAATATAACTGCAAAATTTTATTATTACACAGGTATTTCAATTTAGCAACCCTATCAGTAATATTCATTTATATAGGGCATTAACTTTTTGTTGGTTTTATCTTATTTGATATTATTAACACTTGACTTTAATTCAGGCTTTTAATTCAGAGTTCTAGACTAAGAGAATAAAAAGATAAAATAAAATATGAAATAAAGTTAAGCATGTATAAAAGTCCACTTTAAAACTATATTTATCAGTATAGTACACATGTCCTTTAATAAATTTTACCATTAATTTTAGCATTATTACATTTAAAGCTGAAAAATTATTTTCAGTTTTTATAGTTAATAAGAATTATTATTAATTAATTTTCATTGCCTAAAGGATCCTAAGTACATGTAATAGCCGATTTCTCCTCTTGTGTTCTCCTAGTTCCTCAATTTCAATAAGAATTTCATTGTTAGTAGCAGAATCTTATGGAAATAATGGTAAGAGCCATTATGAAATTTCTGTAAGGATATCTGAGTGAGTCATATTTAGTTGTATTTGCTGAAAATAAAATAAATTGACTTGAGTTTTAGTCATATCTAGGAAATGATGTTTGGGAAGATTAAGCATATAACAATTTACAGAACCTTATCTTCTAGTCAGACACCGTTCTAACCACTGTTTATTGTCATTTAATCCCTACAATGAGATTATGGGGCAGATATTTCTATTATTTATCTATATTTCACTGATGAGAAAATTGAACTACAGAAATGTTAAGCAACTTCCTAAAGCTCTGATGTAAGCCTGTGATGGAGCTGGAACTTGAATCCAAGCAGTCTGGTTCCATGATGTCCTTGATCCATCAAGGTTAAGCACAACAAGCTTTCCTGGTCTGCTTTTCTGAAATATGCTCTATCAGCGAGATATCTGAAGCACTTTATTCATGAAAGTTTCTTCTCTCATCTTAGTTTTAAAGTTCCTGTCAAATTTGGAAGGAAATTATGTGTCTCAGTATGGTATTTTACTGTGATTACTTCTGATTATAGTGGCATACCAAAAAACATTTTTTATTTTAGTGGCAGTTGAGCATTGCTCAATTTTAAAAAGTAACCAAATTAACCCAAATATTTTACAGTAAAATGGTATGTTTCACTTGAACAAAACAAAGCAAGCAAGACCAGGTTAATTTAAGCAAATTGTCACTAATGTCTCCATTGTCTTTAGAGTTTAGAGAAAGTAAAATTTATGACCTAAACTATTCTACTAATAGTCTTCATTATCCATTAGAAGACCAATGTCTTGATACATTTTAAGTTTATGATTTCTTTCTTTAATATTAAAAGTTAAACTTAAGTTAGACATTCTATTAGTAATATAACATTCTGACACTTAGATTAAGAACACTCATATGAGAGAATGTTCATTGTATTTCATTCTAAATGATGTTCTTGAAATTATCTACAGAATTTCTCATAATCTGGAATACTTCAGTAGGAAATAGGTTCAAATGTTCTATAGTAAATTTGTTCAAAATTCTGTATACATATATATGTTAAATATATGTATACATATACATATTTGAGAAAATCCAATTAGGCAGCAAATGACCTTTTACCACTTGAAAAATATTTAATTTAGAGATTTTTATTTACTAATTTTCCAACATAAAAAATAAATCCTAAAGGAAAGTCTACGTACTTATTTATTTTACATGTATTTCCCCATATAAGATGTCTAAAATAAGCTAGAGAATATTAAAACAAATCTGTAGCTGGTTACCTAAAATTTAACCAATCAAGGCAATATATAATTGACCTAGGTCCTTTTGTTACTTAGTAGGATATGCATGGAACTTTGCATCTTCAAGTAAAATGTCATGTGTAGCAAAGCATACTGTGTCACATGCTGCTAAAATATTTTCCTTTACCATAGTTTTGTAAATAGAATTTTTAAAAGTTGACAAAAAGCCAACTTCTAGCTTTCAGAGTTCTGCAGTATTTTTCAGAAAATAGTAAAAATAATAGCTAAGTCACTAAGGGACCTTTTCCATACAATGTTCTAAGGCAGAAATTCTGATAATAGAGAATTTTTGAAACAATCAATTTCAAGTCATTGGCTTAAGTGACCAGGGCACAGGTTAACTATATTGTGTTTAGAGAGTTTGTATGTCTCTCTATCCATGATAATCCAAATATTTGGTGAATCTAAATTTTAAAGAGCAGAACCTGGGAGACTAACATTAAATGACTTTTGCCTTCTTCATAACTTTGTCTAGGACAGATAGCACATATATATAGGCTCAATGCAGAAAGGTTTACTACATAAGATTTTGATTAGGTCACTGAAAAATTAGCTGTATTTTTGAAAATAATTTGTTGGGAGACTAAGCTTTCAATTTCTTATTAGAAAGGAGTATTTTCAATTAAGGTGATGAATGGTCAATATCTTTGTAATGTTTTCTCCTTGATTCCAGTTTTCCTTTTGATATATTCTGTTACCAGAGGAGAGTTAACTCATAAAAGACCTTTCCTTTAGGCTTCTGTTTGGCATACAGAGAAGTGAAGAACAGGGATAAATAGACAACGTAATAACAGTGACCAGCAGGAAGGTGTTGCAGTCAACAAGATTAAAACAAAACCTAATCTGCAAAGTGAATTGTTCAATTTCATCATTGAAAACTGTATATATATTTTTTAAACCTGAGGGGCTGAGGAGATTAGATGTATTGTACATTTAGAATGTTAAGTGAATGTAACTGTATTCATCCACATAGTGATTTCCCTTAGTAACATAAGAAATTGTACTTATACTTTAAAGTGGCTTTTGAAAGTAGAAGGAAACTAAATTAGATTTTAATTGAAATTGATACAGACAGGAGGCCAGGAAATGTGGGGTAGAAGAGTGCAGGGTCCCTGGTGAGGTCTCTGCTCTCAAGCTGGGGCCCACGGCCCTAAATGAGAATTTCACATCCCTGTTTTCCCACCCAAATATTGCTTTTGGCCTGCCCTGCCCCTCTATCCTGTGCCCATATAAACCCCAGACCTCAGCTGGCAGAGGGCCAAGAGGCTGAATGTCGAGTGGGGAAGAGGCAACTGAGTGTCAGAGACTGTGGATAGACTTGGCTTAATTTCAGATGGCATGACTTTGGAGAGGAGCCAACTGGAGATGGTTTGGCTTCAGGGGATGATTATCTTCCCACTTCATCCCCTTTCCAGCTCCTCATCCAACTGAGAGCCACCTTCATCACTCAATAAAACCTCCACATTCATCATCCCTCAAGTCCATCTGATTTGATTCTTCCTGGATGTCAGACAAGGACCAGGGTACCAAGAGGGCAGGGTGTAAAACGCTGTCACCCAGCTCACCACTGAGCTGGTGAACACTTAAGTCATTTGCATATGGCTACTGCTAAAAGAGCATTAGTTCTAACACACCCCTAGACACTACCATGGGGCCAGAGCCCAAAAGCGCTTGCCCCGGCCCCGGCACCCACTCATCTGTGTGCTGTCCCTCCTGCAAAGTGTTTGAGCATAATGGTGGAGTAAGCCATCCACATCCCTGTTGCAAAAAAGCAAAGGGGTTCAGGGAACTCTCCCATCTCAAAACGGCACACAATTATCTCATGGAGAACATTCTGGGAAGAAAGTGATGGAATCCCTGTAGACTTCAAAAGCTGTGAAAAAATATGCATCCATATGCAAAGTCAAAATTTCATGTTAATGTGAATTTCTTCATGTGGCCCACTACATGAAAGGAATCCTGTTCATCAAAGTCTTCACTACATGTTCAACAAATAACTGTTGTTTTCTGTATTTGTGATTGCTTATACTCTGACATGAGTGAAATTTTAAAGTAGCAATTATATTTGAATTATGTTTGTACTCTTGAAAAAATCATGAACTAAAATTTCTATTTATCTCAAGTTTTTTTTGATGTTATAACTATAGTTATTTTTAACAGAAACCCACTTTGTACTAAAAACTCAAGACAGTGATGTACCAACTGAGATACTTAGCTTGGGGTGAAAAGAGTTAGACCTGCTTAAACATACCAGCTATGGAATATAATTGCATGTCCACATTTGTTACTGATAATTAAAATTTTTAACTGGAGATTTAAAAAATGACAATTGGCTTGAAACATACATAAAAGTTTTGTACTTGGGCTGATAAAGGAATACATTTATTTGTCACCACATGTTTAACTTTAGAAAGCATTAAACATGGTAAGTATTATAGCATTAGAGAGACTTTTCAAAGAGAGCTCCATAGAAAAGACTTTTGCTATATTTCTTTAAAAAATATAGCACACTAAATAACTTGTCAATATGTTTTCCTGGCTTAAATCTTTATTCTGTTCTAGAAAAATAATTCCAAACAGAATCTTCTCATTCTGTCTGACAATAAATGTGTGTGTATGTGTGTGTGTGTGTGTGTGTGTGTATGTAAAACTTTAGGATATTACTAATACTTTATTGCATAAAAATATTGAAATTTAAATTCCATATCCAGTTGTTATAAAAAATGTCAATGCTCCCTTAGATCTTGATTTTCCTAAACATTTTATCATCAGTTTTAAGTGTAAATGTCCTAGAAAATAATTCATTTCCATGATTAGTTTAATTGCACTTATATTTATATATAACAACATAGAGGAAAATACGCGCATGGCTTTTATCTGTTTGAAAATGGTTAATTTTTCTAACACTGATGTATGTCAAGATACTGAAATGACAGCTTCTCTTCTTGAACCTTAACTATGATGCAGCTCATTACATTAGCACCAAGAAAGCAGGCCATAAATTTCCACAGTGTGTTCAGGCATGTCTGTAGGCTTGACATTGCCTTCCTCATAGAATATCCATCATTCCAGAAATGTCCTGGGTGCTGAAGGGACAGACTGCAAAGAAATTAAATTCCCAAAATAGCAACACAGAATTTCTCACTGTTAAAATCAGTAAATGATACTGTTGTAATCAGTTGGATTTCTGCCTCATCATTAAACTGAAGTAATTTCCTGCTTATGTCAGAAAGAATTTCATGCTTTAAAAACTATGGAGAGTTTACTATGTTTACTTAGTTTATGAAAATGGGAAAAAATGAACAGCAGAGTAAAATTAATAGAAAATCTAAAACATGAACAGAAATATATTTTTTACTTCATGCATTTTAGGAAATAATAAACTTTAATGAACTAAATGTAAGCAAGCACTTTCAGGACTGAAAATATATTATTTCTAAAGAATATGCTTGGAGTGATGAACAGTCAAGACACTTTTTGTTGCAATACTTATACCATGTAATGGAACTACAGATAATGTTTAAGGCATAGAGGGGAAAGAACATATTGAAAGGTACAAATTACCACTTTTTTTCCTGCCTAAGAATGTTAAGTTCTTTGAGGAAATGAATGCGAAATAGAAACTGACTATTTAAATGCAAAGCCCATTTAATATTAATTAAGGATGGAAAGAATATTCTGTCACACATTCATCGATTTCAGCCAGCATCAATACAAAGTCTCATTGTTGGGGATGTAAAATGAACATGATATCATGGAATTTCAGATCCTGTATATTTTTGGGGAGTTGCGGGGGGGGAATGCAGAAAAAAAATGGACTGGAAAATCTGTCTCTTATTTTAATATTCAATTTACTGATTTTCTTAAAATGAGAAACATAACTTTGGGTAGATATCAGATACTTTTAAAACCTCTGATTCAATATTTTTTAAGTAAAACATTGATCATGCTACTTTTTCTGTAATTAAGATAGAAAAAAATCAATGTATTTCTTCAATTGACAATAACTATATTATATAACATTAAGTGTTGTGTTCATATTTCAAAAAATGTGACCCCAAAAAATCAGATGCTAAGGTAAAGGAAAAGGTAAACCAATTCCTGTGGATTAGCAGTTCTGGTAGACAGAATAGTAGACCCTTCAAAAGGTACAACGTTCTTGCCCTGAAAATTTGTGAATGTTACCCAATGTGGTAAAAGGAATTTTGCTGATATAATTAATGTCATGGACCTTAAAATAGGGAAAGGTGACCTGAATTATCCAGGTGTCACTGATCTAATCACCCAATCTAATCTAATCTAATCAGCCTCTAAAAGCAGATAATTTTGGGAAGGCGAGGCTGGTGGATCATGAGGTCAGGAGTTCAAGACCAGCCTGGCCAAGATGGTGAAACCCCATCTCTAATAAAAATACAAAAATTAGCCCGGTGCAGTGGCAGGTGCCTGTAATCCCAGCCACTCAGGAGGCTGAGGCAGGAGAATTGCTTGAACCCGGGGGGTGGAGGTTGCAGTGAGCCAAGATCACGCCACTGCCCAGCCTGGGCAACAGAGTGAGACTCCATCTCAAAAAAAGAAAAAAAAAAAAACAAAAAACAAGCAGAGTATTGTCTACAGCTAGTTGAAGAACAAGATGGCATAAAGAGGCAGCAAAAGGGAAGTTGGAGAGATTCAAAGTCTGAGAGGGAATCCACTTGCTGTTGCTGGAGACCATGGGTGAGAAGGGCCGTTACTAAGAGTGTCGCAGGCACCTCAAAGCATGAGAAGAAATACCCCTAACCTCTAGGAGGGAAGATTAACCCTCACATCTGAGAGGCAGCAAAGAAATGAAAACCTCAGTTACAGAAACTGAATTCTTCCAAACAACCAGAGTGAATTTGGAAACTGGTTAATTCCCCAGAGCCTCCAGAAAGGGTGAGCAAAGCTTCACTGACACTGATTTTGGCTCTCTGAGACCCAGTGCAAAAAACCAGCAGAATTTCATTCCTATTTCTGACCTACAGAAGTTAGATAATAATAGTGTGTTGTTTTAGGCCAAAAAAAAAAACAACAAAAAAAAAACAACTATGGTAATATGTTAAAGTGGTATAGAAATCACTATCAAAGAATTGTTTCCTCTTAAGTCATAAAAGTTAAATGAAAGAAAAGTATATTCACAAACATATGTCATTAAATTAATTGTTAATCCAAGCGTGCACACAATATGTTTTTATATCCTTCTAGATGTGTAATTGGGGTAATATACAATATTCAAAACTGCATATCAGAAAACAGTGAAGCTGCCTAGTGTTCAATTTGTTGTGTGGATCCATTCAAAGTGCCTAATGTAGAAAACTTAAAAGTAGAGTCAGATTTTATTAGAAACTGTTCCCTCCAGGACAAGCTCATATACAAATCTGCTTGAAGTTGGTGCTATTAGCAGTGGAGCTCCTCAATTGACCTGACTTTTGTAAAAATTTTATTTTCTTGCCTCTTTCCAGCTAGTGATTTTAGCAGTAATAAGCAGTAAAAATTTACAGGGAAGCTGTACAATGAATGCTTGACCTCAGCTATGATTGCAAACATATCCTCTTATATAGGTAAACATATTGACTTGGGACAACTCAAATTCATTTAGGGCAATGCCTGTGACAACAGAAAATACAAACCATTATTAAAATTTCTGATTCCATGTTATCCTGGGCCACATAATGAAATCCCATCTCTTAAAAAAAATTAGCTGTATGTGGTGGCATATGACTATAGTCCCAGCTACTCAGGAGTCTGAGGTGGGAGGATGGTTTGAGCCTGGAAGGTTGAGGCTGTAGTGACCGGTGATTGTGTCACTGCACTCTAGCCTGGGTAACAGAGTGAGACCCTGTCTCAAAAAACAGAACAAAACAAAAAAATTGCTGACTCTATTTCTTGGGAACTCCCCGGTGATTCACTACTCATTATTTATGTGTGCCTAGATATCTTTTCTCTGCCCAAATGGTAGATAAATCCTAATTTAAAAACTCTCATAGTATTTCCACAGAAATTAAAGTGAGTGTCTTGATGGAAATTTAATAGATATTGATATATTTTTATAGCATCATTGTATATTTCATATCATAAAATATAATTTGCAATTTAAAATTAAAAAAACAGAGGGACAAATATTAGGGGCAAATAACCAAATTAAAGCATGTTTTAATTTAGGATTAATGCTGTTATTTTAATTGTTAAGGGGAAGAATGCAGACGTTTTCTATGAATCATTAATATCTAAAACACTCAATCAACTATTATTTAAGTCTTTAGGGAGTGCTTAAAATATAACAGAAAGTAATTTAGAGTGTTCTGCCCTCTATATGTAAGATTTAAAAGAAATACTCCTTTGTTAGGTTATATTTGAGTGATTTTTAAATTTATTTAATTATATTATAAGCAGCAATTTGTAAGTAGGAAAAGAAAATATTGTTTTAAAGTACTCTTTACTCATCTAAAAGCCCAAGCAAGAATTAATAAACTGCTGCCATTTCTGGATATATATAAAAGCAGAAATCTTTCTCCATCTGCCTCATTGCTTATCACAAGTGTCTTTCTTTTTTGTGTTTCAGAATATTGCTAAGAGCACACAATCTTGCCATTGCAATTTCAAACTCATTTTCTTTTTCACGTTCCCTATCTAGATGCCTAAGATTCCAAGGTCGTCTCCTGGTACTCTCTTTAGGCACTTATGGAATGGTAAACTGAAATGTGTACATATATATATATATGAATCTAAATTCCTTCTTTTACAATGCCAACAAAATAGCATGCATGGTATTTTGAACTGGCAATTTTAAATATGAATGCATCTTTACCTGAAAGTAATGGGAGATAAGGGCACAGTCACCTAAACAAAATATCTAAAGATTTAAAAATGCAAAATATTTCTAAAATTATTATAAATTAAAAATAGTTTTCATGACCTGAAACAGTAAAATAAGAATGCTGCAAATTTTAGAGAATGCCTAATTATCTAGATCGTTACAATAATGTGGCTATATTAAACCCTTCTATGCATTATAGCTATAGCATTCTCATGGCCTGAAACAAAGTAATGAACCCCATATTTATTCATCCAAAATGTTACTTAGGTCTTGAATAGACTGAATCATTGAATTTGTAAAATGAAAAAAGAAATCTAAATAATAATAATAATGATAATAAAATATTTTTCTAACATAAAAAGGTCAATTTTGATTAGAAAATAATCAAAAGATAGTTCTTGGTTATAATCCCAGTAGAGAGAACAAATAAGATGTCAGAAGTATTTTAAAGGCAAAAAGAGATCAGGAAAGCCAACACATACCAGTCCTAAGTGATTTAATTGTTAAAATATGAATTAAGAGAAAAATAATTTGAAACTGTTTATAGGAATATGTCAATTACTAGATAAATTCTTTAAATTTTAGGAAATACAGTATCTATTTATCAAAATTATTATATTTCAAATAAAGCAAGTAGTGAGACAATTAGATATGTTGAGTACTAAACAAAATTTAATTCAGATATCTTAGTCATAAGAATGATCAACTTATATTTATAAATATTAAATTTCAATATTTTGTATAGCTCAGCTCACATTTCTTAATTTCTCCTTTTATAATAGTGATGCCATGAAAAATATAGAAATACTTTAAAAATTACTTTTTACTAAAAATCACAAAAAATAAAGAAAATTTGTCTATTAAAATATTTGCTGTTATGGCTTGCTTATACATACATACATACATGGCCTCTGTGTTGGTTGGTTTTATGTGTCAAATTGACAAGTGTTAGTTCTCAACTATTTCAAACACTAATCTAGGTGTTGCCATGAAGGTACCTGTGGTTAACATCTTTAATAAGTTAACTTTAAGTATAGGGGATAGCTCTCAATGATATGGGTGAGGGTTATTTAATAATTTGAAAGGCCTTAAGAGCAAAAACAGAGATGTTCCTGATAAGAAGTCTGCCTCAAGACCAGAACATCAACTACTGCCTGATTTTCCAGCCCTCCAGCCTGCACATTGCAAACAAATTTCAGGCTTGCCAGTCTTCAGAATAATGTGAGCCAATTTACTGAAATAAATCTCTTTATATATAGATAGACATAGATAGCTAGATAATGATAGGTAGATAGATACAAGACAGACCATAGATAGATAGGTTTTTTTTTTTTTTTTTTTGAGACGGAGTCTGGCTCTGTCGCCCAGGCTGGAGTACAGTGGCACAATCTCGGCTCACGGTAAGCTCCGCCTCCCGGGTTCACGCCGTTCTCCTGCCTCAGCCTCCTGAGTAGCTGGGACTACAGGCGCCCGCCACCACACCCGGCTAATTTTTTGTATTTTTAGTAGAGATGGGGTTTCATCATGTTAGCCAGAATGGTCTAGATCTCCTGACCTCGTGATCCGCCCTCCTCAGCCTCCCAAAGTGCTGGGATTACAGGCGTGAGCCACCACGCCTGGCCGATAGATAGATGTTTTATTGGGTTTATTTTTCTGGGGAAATCTGATTGCTACAGCATCACAGAAAAAATGTAAATATTAGAGGCATTCAAAAAGTACTGCATTTAACACTTATTTTAACAACTAGAAATAGAATTTACAAAAACTCTCTTCCCATATTCAGATTTTTATGTTTTTTCTACTGCTTTAATACCTCCAGTCTCTGATATAACAAATATTATCCTAACTGAAGACTTTCTCATAAGCTCCAGTTTTCACGGAGAGAAATTAAATGGGAAGATCACTAGAAGTAGAGCTACAGTTTCAAACAAAATTTAAAGTAAATTAGTAAAGCTTTCAGTAAAGTTAGTCAAAATAACATGCCCATACCCAGAGAGAAAGAAATCCATCATATGTAATATTCAATGATTAAAATGGTAATTTTTCTATTATTTGAAATAATAATTTTTTTTACTCTGAATGTTATAGTTTTAAATAACGAATGTGTTTTATTCCTCTATTTTTTTCTTTCATCTTTTTGCCCTTTTCTAAAAACAGATAACAAGGAAAGATGAGAACAGTGGATTATTGTCAGGGATTTAAAATGAATTAGTTAACAGCAAATACTTGTCAGTTGATACATGAAGCTATAGTAATAAAACATTCCTTTTGATGCTTTGTGATTCATGTGAATCTGTATGCCACATAATTAGGAACCCAAGTGAATAGCAGCTAAAATTGCCAATGTCAAGAAATTCCCAGAGTTTTCAAAGACACTTTGGAAAAAAAAATGGGTCAAATATGTATAGTACATAAAAATCAATGTTCAAATTTATACAGTATACTTTGTTTATTTCTATAAATACATAAACTTATTTTCAGGTCACATTAAAAATTAAGTTTAGGAATTAACTTAGAGAAAGGTAATTTAGTTAGGTTAGAAATCCAAATAAGTGGCAAGCATGTCAAGTGTGAAGCCATTAAATAAGTTAGTGACTAGTTTATATAAATTTTGATTTCAGGTATTTAATAATTTTAGAGGTGAGTTACAAAAAGTTTAATGCAGGAATATTTTAATAACTAAAGCATAATTAATCCATCAGTAAAGAGGACATTTTCTGTTTCTAGAAGTAAAAATTAATTTAGATTACAGCAACCTGTATTTTTAAATTTTTCTAAGAAACAGCTTCCACATACAGGCACATATTTTGCACTTATTTACCCTCTATCCTATTACATGGTAGAAATTGGCTTTAACAAAAACTTCATATTAGCAAATATAAATTAAATTATGTTATTTGTATGCAAATAAACCATCAATATGGTTTAGAAGATTAACAGCGTAAAGACAAAAGCCAACTTTTTTTCTGATAAAACCTGAATTAAAAATAAAATTTAATTTGTATTTTATTTAGGAAACTCCATACCATTTTTCACAATAATTCTTTAAGAAATTAAAAATCAAATTCCCATATGACTTGACAATTTTTCTTCTAGATATATACCCAAAGGAGATAAAATCACCACCTTGTAAAAATACCTGCACTCCCATGTTCATTGTAGCATTATTTACAATAGCCAAGATATAGAAATAACATGTGTCTACCCATAAATGAATGGATAAAGAAAATGTGGTATGTTTGTGTGTGTGTGTGTGTGTGTATGTATATATATAAAATGGAATAACTATTCAGCCTTTAAAAAGAAGACCCTGCATTTGCCACAGAATGGATAGACCTGGAGGACATTATGCCAAGTAAAATAAGCCAGAAAAAATACATTGCATGATCTCACTAATCTGTGGAATAAGAACACAAAAAGCTCAACTATGCAGAGATACAGAATGAAACGAGAGAGAAAGGGCAAATGTAGGTCAAAGGATAAAAAATAGCAGATATGTAGGATGAAAAAGTTTAGATATCTAATGCATGATTTAAGGACTAATGTTGATTTCAGTTAACAGACTAACGAGTTCATGAAAGCTGGGGAGTCAAGAAGGACTCAACACCACCAGAAGCTCCAGGAGATAAGGTCCTTTCAAGAATATCCCTACATTCTTAGTTATGAATTGGGAAGTGAAAGGTAATGGAAGGTGTAGCACAGGTAAAAGAAGCCACTAGTTGAGTTTTGTACATCCCAAGCCACTGATGGCAACCCTTACTTTCCCTTCTGCTCACATTGCAGAGGGGAGAATATTGAAGTTGTCAGAATAGTTTTGGTTCTGACGTGGTTTGTAAACAAAAATTAAATGTTCCCAGCATCAGCACCATGACTGGGCTATAGCCATGATTGTGGTAACATGGCCGAGATGGGCTCTGCGGGAAAATTCAACGTCATTCCCCTTCCAGCCAATGTCTCCTTCACTAATCAACATCCAGATACATAGAAAACCCTAATAAGATTTTCAGAGAAGGGTACGATTATGGGTTTGATGGCAGAAAGTTGAGTGGGTTCTCATCTGGTGTTTTTAAAAATTTCCTTCTGAGGAAAGGGATGGCACAGATGGAAGGAAAAAAAGATGCTCAAATTAAAAGTTAAGAGATTGGAGGAGTTAATGCAGGGCAAGGCTGGGATCCCAAATGTAATCAGAGACATAAAAACTATAAGTTTTCATTGCTTGTGAACTTCCCTTGCTCCGCTATTTACTGTATCATTAATAACAGTTATTTCAATCCAGAGGGGCGGTTTTGCTAGATGAATGAAGTGGAAGAGCAAAAGGGCAAATTATTTGAGTATGTTAGCAACTTGAGTCATTTAAGTGATAATTATTAGATAGAAAAAGGAGGGAGAATAAGAAAAGAGACGTGAGAGTGAGACAGATTAGGGATCAAAAGAACAAAGTCCAAGTGAGATAAAAGAACAAACGTGTTAGAGATATATGGAGTCGCAATGGTGGGAAATTGTGATCAAATAGCATAAAAACCCAATCGATTATTTGAGAGATAAAAGATTTCCAGAGAATGTGGAGTTCTATTGATGTCAGTCCAAGTATTTGAGGTAAACTTGAGGGGAGGTTTCTTGTGGCTTATCCCAGAGATTATCTTCAGTTGGTCTTCCCTTACGTTATCCCCTTCTTCCCATATTGCTCCCCAGCTCTCATCTGTAGTGAACACTTTGCATTCATCTTACCCCTCTGTGGAATAGCATATAGAGTAAGCAGTTTATGGACTTGTTACCAGTGAATTCTGCTAAGAGGATGCCTAAATTATATGAAAAGCAAATTTAGTATCAAAATAATTCCAGTGCTTCCTATGTTGACCATCTTAGGTAGTATCACATAATAATAGAAGCTTTATATTTCTAATTAATGAAACCATAAATGGTGGAACTACCGAATGATTGAAATTTAGTAGTGAGAAAAATTTTGGTTTTCCTTACATTATGTTATACATGGCTACGCTTTTATGATACAGCCCATACAACCATTAAGGCCTCTAAGAAATTTGAGGTTTCAGAATAATATAGCTCAGAATTGGCAAATAAACAACACAAATGATGCCTAATTGGTAACTGCATGTTTTCCAGCTGTGGGAAGAATGAACTGAAGAAGTCTTCTTGACATGGTGTCTCAGTCATTATCAGTTCATCAACATTTGTACTTCAGCAGCATGCTATTTGTCATCTATCTCTAGCCTTTTCCTTCAGAAGCCCGGAAGGATTCTGAATAATTGTCTTTGGCTCTAGTACCACAAGCAAAGGTTTAGGGATATGTTACATCCTAAGAGACAGGGAGGATCTGGTTTTACAACACTCACGAGCACACTGGGCTTTCTGAAACTCAATCAATCCAAGACAGATCTCCTCAGAGACTTATAAAAGCAAAGGTGAACGAACACAGGCTTTCAGCTTTTCCACAAAGTCTTCTGTTGGGTCTTTGTGAATCTGGAATTCACATTGTTAAAAGTGCTTTGATTCTTCTCTCCATCATGGCTATGTCTGGCTGTGCTTTCTTCCCTCATATTTGATGTGAAACAAAGGGAGGTTTAGTGCACCTTGTTAGGCTATTTATCTTAAAAATATGAAACCATTCTACAAATGTCATAAAAATCCGTAACGTCATACAGTTCGTTATATTCTTTAAAAAGTACATCGATTCAGCATTATCCTTGTGTGTCTATTCCAACATGAAAAATTGAGAAATTTTTAATTCACAAAGGGAAAAACCAGCTTCCTATTAGGCCTATCAAAATTTTCAAATTTTGCAAGGGTATTTAAATTCAGTATAGTTTATATTATTAATAATTTTGGTAATAGTTATATTGGAAGTAGATTTTCAGATAAATGTTTTTTAATGACAGTAAAATTGTATCAATTTCCCATTTTAGGGCACTGTATGTATTGTATTTGGTGATTCTCATGTGTGACTTAGGTGTGACACTAATTCAGCTAATGTGATAGCTCATGAAATTTCAAATGTATAATAATTACTTGACATATTGAAGCAGAAATAATATTTTAAGCATATTTTATATATGAAAATGACTTAAATATTAAGTGATAATTTTTATTTCACAGGGAACACCTTCATATTTTCTTTTAAATAAGTTTTGCCAGACATGTTGACTTTATTAAAATACAGGCTATATGTAATTAAAATCATAACTAGATTTACCTTATGATGGTTGACATCATAAGTTTAGCAGTCTTGAGAAGACCATTTAATTGCATTTAACCACACTCTCTTCATTTAGAAATGTGAAAATATCATTAGGAAAATAATACTCTATTATTGTAGTTTGGATTAAGAAAAATCAACTGGGGAAACTACATTGGAAACTGTTATTCTGTAAACTGTGAAAAATTATTATGACATATGTATGTCACATTCTAGCTCCCAGTTTCCTAAAAGACTGTCAGACTTTGTATTTTGTATTTTGTTCTTTTATTTGTTTTTATTGCCATGTTGTATAAGCAATTGCATGGGTGGCAGAAGTCAGTAGCATATATCAACAGTTTCTTTCCAGTGACATTTCTAATGAATTCTTTTCCCCAAGACCTATTTAAGAGGCAAAGTAACAAGCACTTGAATCTGTTACTTTTAATCAAATGTGTTATAAAAGCTGCAAATTTTAATGTAACATTTTATGTGTTTATCATGATGTAAATTTGAGATTAAATAGTATATTCTCTATATATGAACATATTATAGGAAGAATTTATAAAAACAGTACAATCTTGTAAAACTCCTTTTGAAAATATTTTATCTTTCTTTTACATTTTATTGGAATAAAGTAAGAGTTTTGGTCTATTTTCACTCTCCTATCCACTCTCACTTCAGTTTCTAAAAGGTAAAATAAACCAACTAGATTTTACCCTTCTGTGCCTCTGCAGGTTGGTCAACTCTGTTTTTTTTTCTTTGTTCCCACCTTCTACCCTCCACCTGCTACCCTACAAAGAGCACATCATGGCAGGTTTCATGAGCGTTTTGCCCAAATACAAAGAGTAGGTGAGATTCAGTGTAACAAAAAATTGGGCAAACATATAGTCGGCTCTACCTCTGCCCAACCTGCAAACCAAAACTATTTCTCTCATCAAGACATGAGGAGCCTCATTATTAGATTCTTTTAGCATTTCATTTATTCCACAATAATTGAGTATTGCCTTATCATAGCTTGGAAATTCAGGCCATTCCATTCTCTCCGTTTCTGATGGCCTCACATATGACATAAATCATAATAGAAATATCTACTAAAGGACACATTATTACATTTTGTTTATCTGGAAACTTTTCCTAATAAGAATATGCTGAAGTCATTTTCTCAAATATATTTTAAAAATATGAAGTCACTCATTTTATTTTAAATCCATTTGTTATTCTAACAATAAAACATTATGTTATTGAAGATAATACTATAATGCTTACAACCAAATTGTTGTCAGTCCCCCACTCCACTTCATGCTAGAGTCAATCACTGCAACACTATTATTTGTTTTTTATTTTATTCTTTTCCAATTAGCCCACTAAAAAACATACTCTCTAATTTCATGATTCTTCAGTAAACAAAATAATCTATTTCTTTTTATGAAAAACTAGCATTTTATGGAAAATTAGGATTTCCTCAACCTAATATATAACCCCTCACTCCCACACCCGGACACACATCTTGTTTTCCCATCCTCATTATTGCTATATCATTTTATCTTATTTTTGTGAAATATTTGGGGTTTGTTATATCTATGAACATTTTGCTACTGTTCTATGGTTATATTTCCTTTCTTACGTGGTACTTAATTGAGGCATTGTCGTCTTAATCTCAAAGTTTTTAGTTTACTTTTTTTTCTATTTGAATTTATCCATAAAAACACAAAAGACTTAAAAAACATTGTATCTCTACGGAGAATGGAATAAATTCATGTCAGATTTGTTTTATTTTTTTTCCTAGAGATGGAGATGCTTCTCCCAAAATCCTTCTTCCTTTTGGTCTGTTCTGAATTGTTTTCTAGGCTTGTTGCTCAGCTCTCAGCCTTTAAACTCTGTTATATCTTAATGTTGGGAGTCTCCTATCCCTTTCTTCTTTGGTGGATTCTTTCCCTGCCCTAGTTTTATATCTTATTTCTTGCTTTACTCCTCTGTTTTGTCAGATCACATTTATCTGTAGTTCCTAGACATAATCTATGGGAGGATTTTGTTTTTTTCAGAACTTGCCTGTTTGAAGAAGGTTTTACTTTATCCTCACAGTTAACTAGAGTCTAGGTTAAAAATATATTAATACTTCCATCAGAATGTTGAAGACAGTGCTATATTGTTTTCTAACATTGTTGCCATATCAGATCTTTATATATGACGTATAGCCTTCTCATTCATTCATATATAAATAAATATAAGGCATTAAGGAAATTCATTTTATTTTTTTCCTAGTCTGGTAGAGATTTGGGGATGTATCTCTATTGTCATTTGTTTCAAAATATTTTTGATGTCTGCCTTAATTTCATTGTTTACTCAAAAGTCACTCAGGAGCAAGTTGTTTAGTTTCCAGGTCCTTGTGTAATTTTGAGAGTTCTTCTTGCTACTGATTTCTAATTTTATTACACTGTGATCTGAGAAGATATTTGATATTATTTCATTGTTTTGAATTTATTGAGACTTGCTTTATGGCCAAGTGTTTGGTCAATTTTAGAGAATGTTCCACGCATAGATGAGAAAAATGTGTATTCTGGAGTTGCTGGGTGGAATGTTCTGTAGATGTCTATTAGCGCCTTTTGGTCAAGAGTCCTATTTATGTCTGAGTTTCTTTGTTAGCTTTCTGCCTTGCTGATTTGTCTAGTGCAGTCAGTGGGGTGTTGAAATCCTTCACTATTATTGTATGGCAGTTTATTGCTTTTCTTAGATCTAGTGGGTATTTATTAATAATGACTCCTGATCTTTTTTTGTTTTCCATTTGTGTGATGTATCTTTTGCTACCCTTTACTTTGAGCCTGTGGGTGTCTTTACTCATTATATGGATCTCTTGTAAGCAGCAGACGATTGGGTCATTCTTTTTTTTTTTTTTTAATCCAATTTGCCAATCTACATCTTTTAAGTGGAGCATTTAAGCCATTTTGTTCAAGGTTAATATTGATATGTGAGGTTTTGTTTCTGTTATGACGTGTTAGCTATTTGCTTTGTAGGCTTAATTGTATAATTGTTTTATAGGATCTATGAACTTTGTTCTTACATGTGAGTATTGTCTTTTTCTGGTAGTGAGTATTGTTCTTTTGTATCTATGTTTAGACTCCTTTGAGCATTTCTTATAGAAACGGTGTAGTGATAACAAATTTCCACTCATTTGGGAAAGACTTTATTTCTCCTTTATTTATGAAGCATAGTTTGACAGAAAACGAAATCCTTGGTTGGCATTATTTTCTTTAAGAAAGCTAAACATAGGCCCCTAATCTCTTCTTGCTTGTAATGGCTCTACTGATAAGTCTGCTTTTAGTCTGATGGGATTTCTTTCATAGGTGGTCTTGACCTTGGATAGTCTGATGACTGTTTGCCTTGGTTATGTTCACACTGTATAGTATTTCACAGATGTTCTCTGAATTTCTTGTACCTGGATGTCTATCTCCCTAGCAAGATCACATAATTTCTCTGAATTAGTCTCTCAAATATGTTTTCTAAATTAGTTACTTTTTTTTGTCCTTAGGAATGCTTATAAGTCTTAGGTTTCCTTTCTTTACATAGGCTTTGTTCACTTTTTTTTCCCCTTATTTATATTTGATTGGATTAATTCTGAAGACTGGTCTTCTAGATCTAAAATTCATTCTTGTGCTTTGTCTAGTCTATAGCTTTCAGCTGTATTTTGAACTTCCTTTAGAATTTTTTTTCACTTCCAGAAGTTCTGTTTTTTTTTTTAATATAGCTGTGTCATTCAGATCTTGAATTATTATTTTTAAATTATTTTTGTGTTGGTTTTCAGTTTCATCCTGGATTTCACTGAGCTTTCTTATAATCCATATTTTGAATTCCCTATTATTATTTAAGATTTTTCATTTTGGTTAGGATCCATTGCTCGAAAGTTCGTGTTATCCTGTGTTATTGTGTGTAAGTGTCACAACAGTCTTTGTTTTTTGAATTACCAGAGTTTTTATACTGATTCTGTCTCATCTGAAGGAGTTTTCATATCTTATTTTTGATATGAAAGAAGTCCCATTTTCATGAAGATGGAATTTTTACTTTTTAAAATTTTTTTCCTCTTGAGGGTATGACTGTGGTCTATTTTATATATGATCATTTGGCTTCATTTGTGTATGCTTTCAGGGGACCAATTCACTATATGGATAACTTGCTTAGGATAGTTTTTGCATATTGGCTTTTTAAAATGCTGCTTGTTATAGTGATATATGGGGTCTATGAGTCAACACATTATCTTCTGCATGGCTGGGAGTGCGGCGGTTTCTGGAAGCTTATCTCATATGCTAGCACTTTGCCTTTCTGATAGCAGGTTTTTTATTTGGTGGTGCAGTTCAGTCTCTAGTCCAGTAGGTGGTGATTACGAGTAAGACCCGGCTTACGGTCCAGTAGTCTGATAATGAGTGGAGGCAACAGCTCTGATGACATGGCAGGAGAAGTTTGTGTTGGATTGCTCTGAGGTCTCAGAGATAGAAGTAAGTTGGAGGGCTGCACCTGTACGTCATCCTGGGCCAGCAGGAATGCAATCCACTTCCCTATTACACCCCTATGACAGGACTTATGACCTTCAGTTTATGTAGACATTTTCATTTGATTCCTAGCTACAGTGCAAATGAGGCCCATTGAAACACCCTTCTGGTGGCTACCACTGAAATGGCCTCAGGGCAGAGCCTCTTTCCCTGTTCAGAGCAGACAGCTCTGCAGGTTGTCCGCCCTGTGTTTCCAGGATGCTGCTGCTCTGCATAGGAAAAAGGAGATGGGCCCTGTCCTTCATGTAAGCCTGGGTGGGGTATGCTTCCTTTCAGTGGGCATATAGCTGCCACGAAAAGTGCTGGGAAAACTGTCTCCATCATGTGTGCTCATGCCAGCCCCCAGAGGGGAAAGTCTCTGCTGCATCCACAATAGTGGATGGGAGGAGCAGGAGATAATCCCCTCTTCACCTCTGCTCCTAGCTACCAATGCTGCCTCATTCAGCAATTGGCACTGCGGGCATGTTTCTTTTATCCCAAAGGAGGCTTTGATGGGCTGCACTGCCCCTTCCTCTAGGGGTGACCCATGTGTGGGACTAGGTCTTAAGAAACCCCACAGCTCCCCAAGGTCCTTCAGGTTCCCTGTGCCTGCCAAAGTCAGAGCAAGTTGTGGGCTATGTTTGTGAGGGATATGGTGATGCTGCAACTCAAGAGCTGAGTTCTCTGTGCAGGGCACTGGCCCACAATGGGTGCACAATTGGTCTCAGTTCATGTCTGAGGGGAGTGTGGGTGCACAAGAATGAACTGGCCACCCAGTCCTCTTTCTCCAGGAAGTTCCCAAATCTCCACTAACAGCATTGCCTGGTATCATGAGGCCAGAGGGGCTCTCTGACAATTTGGCAGTCAGCAGTTTGTTACAAGAGTAAAAGGAGTTGAGAAGCATCCCTGCCTACCCTTCTGCAGGACTTCAAGTTCTCTTGGGGTCAATCATAGCCAGGTTCTTGCTACTTTTGTTTTCTATGCCCCAGCCTCTACCTGTGGGCTTTCTGACAGATCCTGGCTCTCTTTCCTCAGTTTTCAATTCAGATCATGACCATTCACCTGTAACTTTGGTCTTCTTTTGAGGAGAACTGGCATCTGATGTTCATATTCAGACATCTTGAAAAAAAAATACATTAAGGAAATTTAAAATAACACGCAGTTACAAGTGAATTAGTCAGACAATTCAAATAAAACTTTAAAATTAGGTTTAGCTTTACCAATGTGATGAATTTGTCAATTCCTCAGTTTTCTTCTTATGCAGAGAAAACCATGCTAATTAGAGTTTGAAAATGAGCAATTTTCTCACCATTTTTACATATTTGCTTCCAAATCTATGTTTGAAGGGCTGGTGGAGTAAAATGAAACTTGCAAAACTTGGCTTTACATCTATGTATTCTCATCATTGTATCAAAAGATGTTATATTAGAGGTTTCTCAACAATAACTGAAGGAAATTCTTTTCTATTAATACTAGATTTCAAGCAGAATCATAGTGGAGGCTATGGCTGCATTTCTGCATTTGTATCTTAAGCAGTTAGCATAGGGCCTTGCATATAAAAATATCATTTAAGTATTAAATGAATTATATATATGTATGTATAATAAATTATACATACATTTACAAATGAAATATATATATAATACATATTATAATACATATATATAAAATAAGTGAAAATCTGAGTAAAATAAGTCACCGGAAATAACAGTAGGACTTTTACAAAAGTCACTAGGGCTGAAGAAGATTTCCAACATCAAAATACTAATTCTGAGGGCCAGGTGTGGTGGCTGATGCCTGTAATCCCAGCACTTTGGGAGGCCAAGGGAGCTAGATCACCTGAGGTCAGGAGTTTGAGACCAGCCTGACCAACATGGTGAAACCCCATCTCTACTAAAAATACAAAAATTAGCTGGGTGTGGTGGTGGATGCCTGTAATCCCAGCTACTCAGGAGGCTGAGGCAGGAGAATCGTTTGAACCCAGGAGGCAGAGGCTGCAGTGAGCCAAGATTGCACCCCTGCACTCCAGCCTGAGCGACAAAGAGAGACTCCATCTCAAACAAACAAACAAACAAACAAACACACAAATAAACCTCTTTCTGACTCACATTGGTTATTTGAAGAATGAATATTCAGTACAGTTTTACTTATTTATTTTCTACATTTCTTCCATTAACATTGTTGTAACATACTGCGTGGAACTGCTCAAACTTCAAAGCTGTTATTAAATTTGTCTTTATTCTGCCAAACTGAGATTATTGTGGCAAATGTGAAGACTGTCCTAGCACAGTTTGCAGATATTGAGAACTTGTGATATAAAGATTTTGATCTTTCTGCAAATTAAAAGAATAAGGACATAAAAGAGTTCATCTAAGCCCAATTTTTTGGAAGCCTAGTTTGGTTCTATAACTTTCAATAATATCAGGCACCAGTAGTTACATGAATTACCCTGATTGAGATCTTTAGAATTTAGGGATTAAACTTGTATAAAGCTTGCAGGTAAGACCTTATGGCTGCTATGGCTGCTCAATTTATGTAGTATTAAATAGAATTTGATAAATTTAAGCGAGGAATAATTACTAGATTATAATTATTGAGAGACCTTGTAAGTGGAAGAATATTGAATAAGTGGCTTGATGATCAGAAGTCATAGGTCATTTTTCTTTTCAGTGAGGTTAGGAAGAAAAACATAGATTAAACTGATATTCTTCTTTAGTAAGACAATATTTTGCTTTTTAAGAACTGTAAAACTAATGCCATTGCCCACCAGATCTTTTAAAATATGTTTAACAAAAAATGACCACTTGGAACATCAATTTGATAAATAACAATTAAATGAGAAGAAAACAAAGACAAAAACTATCATGTAACCATAAAAACACCATTTTCTGCCCAGAGGAAGTGTATTGTTCAATTAGCAATCATAAATAAGTCAGAAGCCCTGAGGATTCTGGTCAGTCACTTGTGTGATGTTTTTGGAGTACACAGGTTATGTCATATTAGCTATTCTTTTCAGAAATACAATGTGAATTTGTTTGGAGAAAATATGTAATTAGAATGCTTGTAATTTTTTTAAAAAGCAAGCACATTCCATAATTTTGTGAAAAAGATGATTTAGACCAAAATAATTAAAGTTGAAAGAAGTCTACATTTGGTTACTTTAATTCACAGGTAATCAATCATCAGATAATATTACAATTAAAAGCTATAGTATTAATGGATTATCTACACATTCATAAAAAGATTTTTTGTTCAATCATTATAAAATAATCTTTACTATATTACCCTTACTTTAATTAAAAACAAAGCAATTCTGTCATGAACTGAATTCCTGATATTTAATGAAATGTATGACAATGAATAAATTATGTAGGTTAACATACATATGCAATTATTCATAAGTACTAATAATAGTATACAATATTACAAACCAATAGTAAACCAGAGGCTTATAAACATGTCTAGGACCATAGCCAATAAATTTGCAAGTTGTTTTTGGATTAGTTGTCTTCAATTGCTTTAAACCCTTTGTGTGAAAATTAATTCATTTGTAGATAAAGTAGTTATTTTATAGTATAATCAAATCATCCTTACTAAAATATAAAAAAACTTCGCTGACTTTAAAAATATTAATTTTAAACCACTGGACATACTCTTTTGAGGTCAGTGTTCATGTAATACCTAGTTTAACTATATTTGATATTTATTGAAAATGATATCTTCGTCTATCTCACTACACTTTTCATCTTCACTCATTTTAATGCTTTGATTATGTTTACCAGAAATAACAATGATTATTTTGACTTTGGCATTACTAGCCTTCTGTTTCAATATGATAAAACTTCAAGTGATTTTAAAACCTTACTAAGTTGTTCCACATGCCTGGTCAAGGTTAGTTGCCAGCATAGTGAAAAAGCATGATTAAAGCTGTTTAATTCAAGTATACATTATGTTTCTGTCAGGTCCAATCTATATTCGTTGAAATAAAATTTCATCAGTTTAAAGGGAGGTCTTAAATAATGTATGTGTAAGTAAGAAGATGGCATTTTTGAGGTTGAAATAACCAAGCTTAAAAGCTGGGTGAAATACAATGTTGAGCATAGAAAACACACACCACACACACACACACACACACACACACACACACACACACACACACAAGAACACACACAATAAAAAGGTAAAGAAAGGAGGAAAATCTAACATATTGCCTCATTCTGATTTCTAGATTCTGCCAAAGCATAAAGAGAGCTTGATTACTGTTCAAAGCAAGGAGAGAATGTACGAGAATACAGGAAGTACAGAAAAGTGGATAATAGGAGATATGAGATTGTACACCAATCATTTGAATATGAATAGTGTTGATGAAGTTGGTTCATTTAATAAATATTAATACATTATACCTTAAAAGAGGACAGCCAATAACTAATGGATTAAAAATCTGTTTTTCAAATAAGTGGATTTAGTTTGTTTAAATAATACTTAAATTAGTTACAGCTTACCTGTAAAGAAACTGCTTAAATTTAGTGTTTAACTTTGTCAAAGGTATGCTTTTGGGAAATGGAAAGTTTATGTTCTACTTGAAGCTATAAACATGGGCTGAGTGTCATGGTGCATGCCTGTAGTCCTACCTACTTGGCAGACTGAGGCAGGAGGATTACGTGAGCTCAGGGGTTCGAGACTTGCACCACTGCACTCCAGCATGGGCAACAGAGTGGGACTCTCTCTCTAAAAACAAGCCATAAATATGTTCTTTAGTTGGTTTAATAATTTGAACATTTGAACTAGGTATTTGGATAAAGAATCAAAAAGTAATTTAAATAGAAATACTACATTTGAGATTTGGATATGTATTTTACTTATTTTATACATTGATATATCTAACATTATTTATTTAGTTTTTTTGAGTATTTTGATTTTGATGGTGTGTGTGTGTTTGTGTGTATGTGTGCATGTGTGCCTTTGAGCCAATTTAACACCACAAAACTACGCTGGCAAGAAGGAAAATATCTGGGATGTAGGATGTGGTAAAGGGGTGGTTTGCTGGGTTGTTTGTGAATGTCATGTAGACACATGGCGTAGAGTCTAAAATATTTCACAGTGGCAGACATGTAAGTTATTTTTGCTTTTAAAAATGAGAAGTAGGTTTAAATACCACAGAAGAATATCAAGTTTGAGGTAGCTGGGAAGATTCCTAGTTCTTTGTTTGCATAGATGATTATATGTCTATGTTCCCGATGAGTTTTCTAACTCTGGGTAATAACTTTAGATTAAGCATCACGTCTAGCCTAATTTGAAGGATTTTCCAGCACTGTACAATATAGTTCTTTGTTTGTAATAGGAAACTGAGTGCAATATAAAATACTCAGAAATTCTGCAAAGCCACTGCCATTTATAAACATAAAGTAGACAGATATAGCTAAATGGCATTTTTGTGAACCATTTGTAATGCACTGCATTTTTTTCAATAAAAGAAGAGTGCATTATGATAGCATAGATAAGCTTCAATGAACGGAGCTTGGTATAAAAGGGCATAAATGTAATCGTGTGGAAGTGGCAGGGTGTAAGGAATACCTGTGATGTCAGAGTAAGAGGTCCTTTTACTTCACAGGGATATAAGAGGCATGATTCTCAAGGATATACATTTTCAATGAAGGCAAGGAGGTTAAAGATCTCTGTGAAAGATTCTGGATTTAGAGGAAATTGTTCATTACAGAATAGTGACTTCATAGGAAATCACCAGAAGGGTTGAGTGAGAGTAGGGCAGTAGAACTTTTGTTAGAAAAGGGGAATTAATGAGAGTTATGGTGTAGAGATGATACAAAAGCAGTGGGATTTGCATTGAGTGGTACCAAAGGATATTAAGCATGGTATGGTAGTTTTAACATTGTCTTTGATATAATTCATAGTCATCTGAATTAAAAATATTACTTTTCGTTTTCTTGCATCTAAAATTCAGATGTATTGTGAGTGCCTATTCTTTCTTTTTAAATTGCTTTAGTGAAGTATAATCTAAATTCACCATATGTAAGTGTATTACTCAAGTAATATTTAGTAAATACACACAGTTGCACAACCACCACCACAATCCAGTTTTAGTTTTCTTCACACAAAAACATTCCTCATGCCTGTGTGAAGTCAATCCCTGCTCTTATGCCTAGCAACAGGAAACTGCCGATTCCCATTCTATTTTTATAAATTTGTCTTCTCTGGACTCTCATATAAATGTTATCTGGCTTCTTTTGTGCCTGGTCTTTTTAACTAAGCATAATATTTTTGCTTATGCATAACATTAGGGTCCCATCAACAATGTAAAAGTGTTTCAGTTTCTCCATATCCTTGCCAATACTTGATATTGTCACTCTTAATGATAATCACCATTCTAGTGGTGTATAGTAGTATTTCATTATTAGTATAATTTGCATTCCTTAAGAATATGTTTATTAGACACACGTATTTTCTCTGCTTGTATTTCTGTATGGTATCTTGACTTCTGAGCAAAGGGCATGCTTGAATAGCAAATCGAATTGGAAGTTAGAGATAATTAATCCCTGTGGAGAGATTTGGAGTCATCTTATCCTAGGCTATTGAAAATAGAGCCCCCTTCTTCCCCTACCTAAAAACTTGGCTTACATTATGGTATGGTATCACATGAGGGATGTCATCTTACACTCTCATGGAAGAAATTTGCTTACATTCCAGGGTAACTAGTAATGTTAATCTCTCTATAAAAGAGGTTGAGAAAATAACAGGCAGCCCCACTGAAGGTCAGAATCTTCTAAAGTTCATGCTTCCTCACCTGTGCTGACAAGTCCTGCAAAATTTGGGGCACAGGGAACTGCTGATATTATTTTGCTGTGAATAATAAACAGTAAATGGCCGGGCGCAGTGGCTCATGCCTATAATCCCAGCACTTTGGGAGGCTGAGGTGGGTGGATTGCCTGAGCTCAGGAGTACTAGACCATCCTGGGCAACACGGTGAAACCCCGTCTCTACTAAAACACAAAAAATTAGCCAGGCATGGCAGCGTGCACCTGTAATCGGGAGGCTGAGGCAAGAGAATCACTTGAACCCAGGAGGTGGAGGTTGCAGTGAGCCAAAATCACAAGACTGCCCTCCAGCTGGGGCGACAGAGGGAGACTCTGTTTCTAACTGAATAAATAACTAAAAATAGTATATGTCTCTGACCCAGGTTCTTTTCTTCTGTTATATGTGTGAATATGTAACTGTACTTGGCTGCCTTGTTGCTTGAAAATAAGGTAAAATTTCAGACTCTTAGCATTCTCTGACTTAACACAAGTAAATATTAATAAGGTTTGTCTGTGTCCCCACCCAAATCTCATCTTGAATTGTGCTCCCATAATTTCCACGTGTTGTGGGAGGGACCCGGTGGGAGATAATTGAATCATGGGGCCGGTTTCCCCCATACTGTTCTCGTGGTGTTGAATAAGTCTCAGGAGCTCTGATGGTTTTATCAGGGGTTTGCGCTTTTGGGTCTTCCTGATTCTCTCTCTTCCTGCTGCCATCCACTTAAGAAGGGACTTACTCCTCCTTGTCTTCCACCATGATTGTGAGGCTTCCCCAGCCAGGTGGAACTGTAAGTCCAGTTAAACCTCTTCCTTTTGTGATTTGCCCAGTCTTGGATATGTCTTTATTAGCAACGTGAAAACAGACAAATGCAAGTATCAAATAAATGTCAGTTCTTATGATGATTTTTTTTAGGAATGTAAATGACCATAAGCTAGAAAATATAGAATCGTCAGGGAAATTAGAATTTTCTTTCTTGGAATTTTCTCTCAAGGATGCCATTTAAGATTCTACTCATGGGAATCTAAAAATGTCAAACTCATAGAACCAGAGAGTAAAATAATGATTTCCAGAGGCTGGGGCTACGGAGATTGAAAAGATGTTGGTAAAAGGAACAAAATTTCAGTCACGCAAAATAAATAAGTTCAAGCGATGTATTGGCATTATGGCAACTATAGTTAATAACAATATATTGCATACTTGAAAATTGTTTGAAGAGTAGATTTTACAGTTTTCTCACTAAAAAAGAAGTATGTGAGATCATGTATATGTTAAGTAGCACAATTTAGCCATTCCACAAATGTATAAATATATCAAAACATAATGGTGTGTATAACTATATAAAATTTATACTTGTCAATTAAAAAATAAAAATAAATAAAATTATATCAGATGAAGGAAAAGCATTTCTACATATTGACTGTAGTCCAGAATTGAATGAGTTTATTTTTTCCCTCAATGTTTTCAGATGGAAATAAATTTGAAACAAACATTCCTGAAATGTCTATTTTTTCCTTTGTGTTTTACTATGGTAGGAACACTTAACATGAGATCTACTCTCTCAAATTTTTAAGTATACAATACGTGGTTGATAACAGGTAAAATGTTGTACAGCAGATCCCTAGAGCTTATTTTACTTGCTTGGCTGAACCTTTATGCTCCATGATTAGCTACTTTCCATATTCCCTTCTTCCCAGCTCCTGGTAACCACCAATCCATTCTTTGACTTTATACATTTGATGATTTTTGATGCCCCCCTAAGTAAGTAGAATCGTGCAATATTTGTCTTTCTGTGACTGGGTTATACTGTTCTCCAAATTCATCCATGTTGTCAAATATTGAAGAATTTCCTTCTTTTGTAGTATTCTATTTAATGTGTAAACCATATATTCTTTATCTATTTATCTTTCAGTGGACAGTTAGATTGTTTCTGCATGTTGGCTATTGTAAATAATGCTTCAATGGACATGGAGTGGTAATATCTCTTTGAGTTTCTGATTTCAACTCTTCTGAATGTATATTCGGAAGTGGGAATGGTGCATCACATGGTAGTTACATTTTTAATTTTTTGAGGAACCTTCATAGCGTTTTCCACAATGGATGAAATATTTTACGTTCTTACCAAGTATGCAAGGGTTTCTTTTTTTTCCACATCCTTGTCAACACTTACCTTTTATCTTTAGGACAATAGTCATTCTAACAGTTGTGAGGTGATAGCATTTTGCAGTTTCAATTTGCATTTTCCTGATAATTAGTGATGTTGAGCATCTTTCCATATAGTTGCTGGTCATTTGTATGTCTTCCTTGGAGAAATGTCTATTCAAAGACTTTGCTTATTAAAACCAATTTTTTTTTGCTATTTTAATCTTTTTGGTGTTATTGTAGATGAGACTATTTTCCTAATTTTCTTTTTGGTTTGTTGTTAGTGTGAAAAAACACAACGTACTTTTGTATGTTAATTTTGTATCATGCAACTTTATTAATTTTTTTTTTATTTTAACAGTTTTTTAAGGAGTCTTTAGGATCATGTATATATATGATTATATCTGCAAACGAGGGCAATTTTACTTATTTTTTGTGTGGTTTGGATTCCTTTATTTCTTTCTCTACTACTCTAGCTAGGATTTCCTGTGCTATGTTGAATAGAAGTGGTGAAAATGTGTATCCGTACCTTGTTCGTGATATCAGAGGAAAAGCTCTGCTTTTCATCATTGAGCATTGAAAAATCTGTGAGGTTTTCATACATGGCCTTTGTTATGTCGAGGTAATTTCATTCTATTCCTATTTTGTTGAGAGTTTCTTTTTTAAATCACAAAAAGTTGTTGAATTTGTCAAATGCTTTTTCTGCATCTATTTAAATTACTCTGAGATTTTCATTCTGTATATTGTTAATATGGTATATCACACTAATTGATTTTCATATGTTGAAGCATGCTTGAATCCTAGAGATGAGTCCCACTTGGCTATGATGTGTTGTCCTTAATACATTGTTAGATTGAATGTGCTAGTAGTTTGCTGAGGCTTTTGCATCTAGATTCATCGAGGATTTTCATCTGCAGTTTTCTCTTTTTTGTTTGTCTGCCTTTGGTATCAGTGTAATGCTGGCCTCATAAAATCAGTTTGACAGTGTTCTCTCTTCATTTTTTTGGAAAAGTTGAAGAAAGATTGATGTTATTCCTTCTTTACTTGTTTGGTGGAATTTATTAGTGATGCCATCAGATACAGAACTTTTTTTATTTTTAGGAGGTTTTTGATTGCCTATTCATTCTGTACATTAGCTGTAGGCCTGTTTAGGCTTTCTATTTCTTTATAAATTATTCTTGGTGATTTGTATATTTCAAAGAATTTATTCATTTTTTCTAGGCTGTACAAATCATTGGAGTATAATTGTTTATAGTAAGGTCTCATAATCCTTATTATTGCCGTGGCATCAATTGTAATGTCTTTTTAAAAATATATATAAACAACAGAAATTTATTTCTCTCAGCTCTGAAGGCTAAAATTCTGAGGTCAGAATGCCAGCACAGTCAGGTTCTGTGAAGGCTCTCTTCCAAGTTGCAGACTGCTGACTTCTCATTGTATCCTAACATGGTAAAAGGAGATCCAGATAGCTCTAAAGGCTCTCCTTTTTTTTTTTTTTTTTTTAACTTTTCAAATTATTCTTATTGTTATTATTATCATTATTTGGTTACATGAATAAGTTCTTTGGTGATGATTTCTGAGATTTTGGTGCACCCATCACTCAATAAGTGTACACTGTACCCAATGTGTCTTTTATCCCTCGCCCTTCTTCCACCCTTTTCCCTGAGTCCCCAAAGTCCATTGTGTCATTCTGTTGCCTTTGCGTTTTCATAGCTGAGCTCCCAATAGTTGTAATGTCTTTTATTTCATTACTGATTTTATCTCTTTGAGTTTTCTCTTTTTTCCTTAGTTTAGTTAAGAGTTTATAAATTTTGCTTATCTTTAAAAAATTCCACCAACTGTTAATTTTGTTGATTTTTTTTTCTGATGCTTTTTGTATCATTTATTTCTGCTGTTTGTGGTTTCCTTTCTTCTCCTAAATTTGGACTAAGATTTTAGTCTTTTTTTAGTCCCTTGAGGTGTAAAGTTAGGTTATTTGAGATCTTTCTTGTTTTTTAATATAGGAGTTGGGCACTATGAACTTCCATTGGCTTTGGTATGTCGTGTTTTCATTTTCATTTTACTTGAAGTATTTTCTAATTTCCTTTTTGATTTTTTTACTTTGACCCAATGGTTGTCCAAGTACATGTTGTTTAGTCTCCACATGTGAATTTTCCAGTTTTCCTTTTGTTATTCAGGATTACCAGGTCTTCAATTTTGTCACTCCGGTTCTGCACAACCAGTACAAGATTTGGTGGCAACTGTTTCTGTCAGCAGGGTGCTCATGCTCTGCCTGAGCTGAACCTCAATCCTTAGCCAAACCTCAATCCTCAGCCTTGAACCTATACTCATAATAAGAAATACCCTGGGGAGAAAGGGTCTGCCATCATTAGCTCACTTTTGAGAAGTATTCTTTGTCTGAAGTTTTATCAACATAAACTTGTTTGCATCTATAATTATCTGATGAGTTTAATTAAATTATTTTAGTATTTTACCTAGCTTTTCCCACAGTCTTTAGTGGGAATGTCAGTCTGCCATAACCTACTATTTCTACTAAAAAGCAGAAATTCCACCAATGAGTTAAATTTGACAACCCAGCTGATTTGCATCAATCTTACTCTATTTCTGTGTAACTTTGACACAATCTGGAAGCCTGCCTTGCTCTAGTGATGCCTCCATATTGTCAATTTTTTTTTGAACATTCTAACCGATTCTCTGTTCCTACTTATCCAACAAAAGTTTCTATTCCTCTTCCTCTCTAATTTTTCCTTCACACACTTACCCTTAGAGATCTCATTTTGAACCATGGCTTCAAAGTTTTTTGAGACATGTATGATGCTAAATCAATGAGTTCCATCCAATATCTCTTCTTGAATATCTCAGTTTTACTCAAAATATGAACTTCCAAAATCAACTCATCTTTGATCTTGAATTTATTTCCTGAATCTCCTATTTCAGTTACTTGTCCTTATTAAGCAGGGGTGATAGTTTTATGCAAGAACAGACTATCAAAAGGAGAAAATCAAAGTGACCATCCTAGGCAGAAAGGAGATGTGTGGTGGAACTGCAAGCATAACCATCACTCCATGTGGCAAGGATGCATGAAATTTCCATTGTATTTATAGTAGATGATAATAAAATTTTCAAGCAGGTTGCCAGTTTCTCCATTGGGAAGGCTGGCTGGCAGCCAAATGAACAAAAGACTGTAGGATGGTAGTTGAAGAAGAGTTAGAAGAAGGTGAGCTAGAAGAATTCACCCTCATTAGGGATCTCTAGTCAGGAGGTTTATCCATGTAGGCAGGGAGATGGCCAGACCTCAGACTTTTGTTACAGAGGATAACAGTAATCTCCTACTGTTAGAGAAGAGAGGAAGGAAAAAGTAGCTGAAAGAAACATTTGTCCCTTTCTACTTTTCTTGTTTCTATATAAACCCAGTAGAGGTTGAAGGAATCCAAAAAAGTGAGGTAGCAGTGAGAAAACAGACCATACCACCTAAAGCACTTGGGTTACTAAGACCATGAATCAAGCTGGACATAGGCAGAGAGGAAAAGAAGACAAACATTGAATAGACATCAGAATAGAGGATTAAGTTGAAAAATTTTTCTAACATTTTCATACCTAACAAAGACCATAAAATTATAGACCCATGATTGGATGAAGGGATAAATAAAGTCACTTAATATACCTCACTTGGTTCACACTGTTTAAATTGATAAGTGAAAACAAAAATGCAATCATATCCTTGAAAATAGTGGAAATTTAATTTGGCTTTGCATTTTTATACATCATGTATGCTGATATCTCCTTATTTTGTTAGTAGTCTAGTGGTTTTTAAAGTGTGGTGTTCACCACAGCACTGCTATCACTGGGGAGCTTGTTAAAAATGCTTATTCACAGGTCCCACCCCAGACCTTCTCAATCAGAAAGTTGAGCCCAGTGATCTAAGTTTTAACAAGACTTCCAAGTGTTTCTAGTACATTCCAAAGTTTGAGACTCACAATGTAGTTTCTTTTCTATTTGGGGTATCTTGAGGGAAAGAGTAAAACAAACAACTTTATTAAATATTTTGATAAAAATTTTGCAGTTTTAGATATCTATTATTTTATCATTTTTCTAGTATTTGGTTGAACCTAAATCTATTTGAGATCCTTCTTTAAAATACTATATTAATACATTACAGTGTAATGCTATTCAATAATTTAGTTTATACATTTTAAAATTATTTCCCCAATTTAAAATATCTCACTTCAAATATTTTTATTTATGATATTGGTTAATTGATTGTTTGATATAAGCTATTAGTGAGCTACACTATTTGTAAGCTCTTCTATTAAATATCTGACTATTATACCACATGACCTATAATGAATGTAAGCATTTCCATAATGTTAGTACAATGCCAAATTCAAAATAATAAAGTAAAATTATTAACACATTTCCAAACTTATATTTGATCAGTAATTCCTTAACAGCTCATCATTGATCTATACTTAGCTGATTAAAGATTTCAATTTTTTTGAATTTTTATCATAACTATATTTAAAATAAGCTTGCTGCAATATTTTATATCTGTTCTTATCCTTAAAAATATATTTCTAGCTCTGATTGGTACCTATATTTTTATGTTTCTTATCTAGTTTACTATCCTGGAATATAATCCTTTTAAGTTAAAAGTGGTGCATTTATATCAAATTTAGAAATCACTGCACTTACATAATGATAAACAGTGTGTTTATTTTTTTATGCCACTGCTGTCCCATTTTTTTCTAAACATACACATACACACACACACAATTTCTAATTGAGCCATAGCTTAATTCAATTTACTCTGGAGCTGAATTAAGGGTGCGTAAGGACTTGCTGGGTATCTCTGTGAGTAAAACAAACTATATTTTTAAAAAATTATAATTAAAAAACAACACTTCTTAAATTTTACCATGTTATAAAATGTAAAACATTATCACATTACATATTTAAAAATATTATAGAGAAGAGACTAATGACAAATGTGCATGATATTAACACAAACACAAGTGCATTTCTACTATACAAAGATGTTCAACGCAAAAGATTTCATTGATTTTGTGCTAGTATCTACAATATAGCCACATGCCGTTATGTGTATGGTGTTTGACATAACTCTTGTCCTGATAGAGTGGATTAATAACAAAAATATCATCACTTTGTTTTTGGATACTTGAACAATGTCAGGAATCTTCATAACTGCTAAAAATACAGTATTAGTATACCAAACAAAGGGATGCTAAGAACATGTGAGGTCTAAAGTTTGTGGATTTGAGCCAGCTGAGCACAGCAACAAGTAGTTCATTTGAGCAGCCTGAACAAACACTTCTTTCATAGAGGAACACTCTGTCCCTATCCCCATCCTATCCTCTCTCTCTGAAAAATCCCATACATGACATTTGCATTGACTTCATCAGCTTCAAATTGCACCATGAATACTGGCATGTATTTTATATTCTTTCCATCAATAGCCAGGACAGGAGGCTAATTAGCGTACCACCAATGCTTTAAACAGAGTTACTATAAAGAGCAGCTCTTGTAAAAACCTCAAGTTCAAAACTTTCAATTTAGTCTGAGAAGGAATTTTTTTCCTACAACACAAACTGAAGGTACGTAGCTACCTATGTTCAAGTGTTTTATTTTTTAGACTAAAAAGTGAAATAGAAATATTTTTAAAACTATTCCTGCTCCAATTATGAAAAATGACCATTACATAAACTTAAATTCTGTTATAAATGAAATTATTTACAGAAGGATATAGAAGTAACATGACATAGAATAATAGAGGTGGGAATAAAACTCAGAAATTTTTACCAATATCTGATCCTAGGGGTAGCTATGAACAAATTTCACTAGGTTTAGGATTGCCAGTTTTTTGAAACTGAAAGACTTCCAATAAATAACACATATTTTTTAAGAATGAGAGTGAGTAACCATGTATAATGTTCCAACAGAATAAGAATTTGAAAAGTTCTTTGTAACTATTCAATATTCGTGATTATTTAAAAATGTATGGGCTTGAAATAACTGAATTAACACAGAACATTGCATATATATATATACACACAAACACATATATATACACACAAACATGTATATATACACACACACACAAACACGCAGACACAAAAAACCTTTCATTTTTCATTATAAATCGAAATAAAAATATTATTACCTGTATTTTTTTTTTTTTTTTGAAATGGAGTTTCGCTCTTGTTGCCCAGACTGGAGTGCAATAGCATGATCTCGGCTCTCCACGACCTCCGCCTCCCTTGTTCAAGTGATTCTTCTGCCTCAGCCTCCCGAGTAGTTGGGATTACAAGCATGCACCACTGTGCCTGGCTAATCTTGTGTTTTTAGTGTTTCTTCATGTTGGTCACGCTGGTCTCGTACTCTCGACCTCTGGTGATCCACCCTCCTCGGCCTCCCAAAGTGCTGAGATTACCGGTGTGAGCCACCTCGCCCTGCCTGGCTTTTTAATAAAAATATAAACTAAAATATCTATCATACAATTTAAGGCCATCTTTCATTTTGGAAATATATAAATGTACAATATTTTGCAGGAATTGTTCAAGAGAAAAGAACACAAAATATCTATAAGTCATTTAATTTTATTTAAAATTATTCATTTGTCACTTTGGGAGGCCGAGGCGGGTGGATCATGTGGTCAGGAGTTCAAGACCAGCCTGGCCAAGATGGTGAAACCCTGTCTCTACTAAAAATACAAAAATTAGCTGTGCATGGTGGCAGGTGCCTGTAATCCCAGCTACTCAGGAGGCTGAGGCAGAGAATTGACTTGAACCTGGGAAGCGGAGGTTGCAGTGAGCCAAGATTGGGCCACTGAACTCCAGCCTGGGCGACAGAGTGAGACTACATCTCAAAAAAAAAAATTATTCATTTGTAAGAATTTAATAGTTATGACTGAGATAAATCTCTCCAGCTTCCCTTTTGTGGAAATGGTAAACAGGTGATTATTGCTATCCATATGTGAGTCAGACTGTGTTATAATGTCAAAATGCTCTGAGCAGTAAAACTTGCATAGCACATTTATAATGGAAAACTTATGTTAACAGTAATCTTTGAAAAGTTTCTTTGTGCTTATGATAATAAGGTTTAACTTGTAATGCTTTTTATACTGTATAGGAATGACAAATTAAATACATGATCTCAAAGCTTCTACAATGGATCCTCATGATATTTTTAAAAATATGTTTTTTTGTTTTATCTTTCCCAAAACCATTAACAATGTGGCTTAAAAAAGAAGAGAGAATAGCAGCTATCATCTTATTTTTAACTTTGAAGAAAATATATAGTTTTATTATTTATTTATTTATTTATTTTTTTAAAGACAGAGTCTCACTCTGTCATCTAGGCTGGAGTGCGGTGGTGTGATCTCGGCTCACTCTAACCTCCGCCTCCCAGGTTCAAGCAATTCTCCTGCCTCAGCCTCCCGAATAGCTGGGATTACAGGCATGCACCACCATGCCCAGCTAATTTTTGTATTTTTAGTAGATACACGGTTTCACCATGTTGGCCAGGCTAGTCTTGAACTCCTGACCTCTGGTGATCCACCCACTTCGGCCTCCCAAAGTGGTAGGATTACAGGCTATTTTTTTTTAATTTGGCATATTATTTTTGAAAAAATGCATGAGCCTATCAAATATAATTTTAAAAGTGTATATTTTAAAATAGCTAGAAAAAAGGAATTGCAATATTCCTGACACAAAGAAAGGACAAATATTTGAGGTGATGGTGATCCCTACTGTGCTGACCCAATCATCACACAGACTACACTGGTATTCAAACATCATATGTATCCCCTAAATATACACAGTATTATAAATATCAGCAAAAAATAAAAAGCTGGATGCTTTTTAAATTGATACATAATATTTGTACGTATTTATGGATTACATGTGATACCTTGCTACATGTACAGAACGGGCAATGATCAAGTCAGAGTACTGAGGGTATCCATGACCTCAGGTATCTATCATTTCTGTGTTTGTGGAACATTCAAAATCCTCTCATCTAGCTATTTTTAAATATGGTTGTTCCCAGTATGCAGAGGGATTGGTTCCAGGACAGCTGGCATATAACCAAATGCATGCAAACCCTGTAAGCAAGAAGTCAGCTTTTTGTATATGTGGGTTTCACATCCTGCGAATACTATGTTTTTGAGCTGTTTTTGGTTGGAATAAGATGCACATAAGTGGATTCATGCAGTTACAACCTGTGTTGTTCAAGGGTTAACTGTATACAATATGCTTGTTAACTGTAGTTAACCTACTCTGCTATCAAACAGTAGAACTTATTCTGTTTATTTGCATCCATTAACAAACATCTCTTCATCTGCCCTCATTCACACACCCTTCCTAGCCTCTAGTAACAACTATTCTACGCTCTACCTCCACGAAATTAACTTTTTTAGTTCTCACATATGAGTGAGAACATGTGTCTTTCTGTGTCTGGCTTATTTCACCTAAAATAGTGACCTTCAGTTCCATCCACGTTGCTGAAAATGATGTAATTTCATTCTTTTTAATGCTTGAATAATATTCAATTGTGTATATATAAAATATCATACATATATATGTTGATGGATACTTAGACTGATCCCATACTTTTGCTATTGTAAATAGTGCTGCAATAAACATGTGAGTGCAGGTATCTCTTTGATATACTGATTTATTTTCCTTTGACTTAATATCCTGTAGTGGGATTGTTGGATGGTATGGTAGTTCTAGTTTTAGTTTTTTGAAAAATCTCTATAATGTTTTTTCGTAATGGCTATATTAATTTATATTCCTAGCAACAGCATACAAGTGTTTTCCCTGCATCCTTGCCAGCATTAGGTTTTTTTTTCTTTTTAATTATTGTTCTAACTGTGGTAGAAGATGACATGAACAGATATTTCTCAAAAGACGGCATACAAATGGTTAACAGGTATGTAAAAAATGTTCAACATCACTGAAAAATGTAAAACAAAATGACTATTGTCTTTAGAGTAAAGATTTTAAAAATATACGATATCTTTTTCAATGCCATAGTATCAGGGAGCATATCAGAAATAATCTTATTATGTTTACCAAAAGTAAATGAAAAATTGCAAAAAAATTATAATTCAACTGAAAGTTTTCTGAAGTGATAGCATTAAGCTAGCATAGGGGTAAATTAATGAGTATATTAATTTAGAATTCGCTAGCTAATGTCTCATTTCAGCTACACTGCTATACACATCAGAGTATCTGCAAGGGTTTAATTATTTAGTTAAATATGGTCTTAAACCAAACTCCTCTTCTGCTTGTGTTGAAAATAGACTGCAGATGATTACATTTCCATAGACTTCACAACATAAGCTTCTTTCAGTTTGAAATAAGAATGTTAAGGTTGCCAAGTAGAAAGTTTATAACTGCTGTTATTTTGGATTATATGGAGTTATGAAAATCTAAATGTTTTACAAAGTTAAAAAGTATTCTTTTTTTGCTCACTTATAACTCAAAAATCACTAAAGTCATTCTGCTAAACATGCCACGAAGCCAAGCTTCTTGCCATATGTCTGCATAATTTTATTAAATCACTGCTATTCACGTGCACATCCTCACACACATACAAACAAGAGATGCCAAAGATTAAAAATATGTTTTATGTGTTTTATATAAGCTTGAATTGAGACCATGACCTCATTTGAACACAATATGTGGCCTATATCTAGGGTTATTTTTAAACCAGTCTTAGCATACTTTTTTTGCATGAGTATTTTAATTGGTACTTCCTGTATTCCCTACTGTAATTTCAGTAAAACATGATATTGAAGTGATTGAAATAATCGAATAAATATGTAATTGTTTCAGAATTTCATTTACCGTGTACAATTTTCTTTGCCCGTGATTTAATAATGTGAGGCAATTATTATTTTAAAAAATTGTCTGGGCATAGTGGCTTATGCCTGTAAGCCCAGCACTTTGGGAGGCCGAAGCAGGTGGATTACTTGAGGTCAGGACTTCCAGACCAGCCTGGCCAACATGGTGAAACCCCTTCTCTACTAAAATACAAAAATTAGCTGGCCATGGTGGCATGCACCTGTAGTCCCAGCTACTTGGGAGGCTGAGGCATGAGAATCACTTGAACCTGGGCGGCAGAGGTTGCAGTAAGCTGAGATTGCACCACTCCACTCCAGCCTGGGCAACAAAGAAAGACTCTGTCTCCAAAAACAAACAAACAAAAATAAATAAATGATATGAAGCAATTATAACAATGAATGCCCTGCAAGAAGCACCAATTAAGTACTAGCTATAATAATAAATAATTAATATTTCATAGTAATAACTTTTATTAAAACAAATGCATAAACCGCTCTCAGACAACTCCTTTTAATTGATGTCTTAGTTATTGAAATAACTCAGCTATCATTCAATTCCTCACTGAATCTTTATTCTTTGTGATATCTAGTAGTTCAAAAATCTATTCTGAGTCCATGATTGTCCAAAGTCCATATTTTCTGTTTGCAAAAACCCATTAAATACCTTCATATAATCTTTAGTTCTAGGCACTGGAAAGGGCACTAGTTCTAGGCTCTTTCAGGCAAAAGAGATGAGGACTGTATTCTTCCTAGAGACGTGAACCAAGAAGGGAGTTTCCAATTTGAATTTCAGAAGTATTTAAGGACTGCCTAGCTCATGTCAAAGAATAAAAAAATACTGCTCCTTTCTGTTTATGTGTTGAAAAAAAAGAAGTGAGTGGAAAAAGGCAGGAGGAGTGAGGTGCTCTTTCTGTCTTAAGATCTCTGCATTTTGTTCTATGATAAGACTCAAATGCCTTAGAGTATATTGGGTTCTTCCCAAGCTGATCAAGTTCTCCAATCTATTCTAAGACTTTACCAATCTTCTAGTCTATGCTACCACTTTAAGATGCTCCCTTGAAGATTGTAGCTTGTTCCTTCATCTTTCCATATTTGTGTCTTATATTTACACTCATACTATCTGGCAGTTAATTGTTTATGACTTTGTCTCATCCAGTAGACTGTGCTGAGGGCAGCTTTAGCTTTTCTTCTTCTTTTTATTATTATACTTTAAATTCTGGGATACACGTGCAGAGCATGCAAGTTAGTTACATAGGTATACATGTGCCATGGTGGTTTGCTGCACCCATCAACCTGTCATCTACATTTAGGTATTTCTCCTGATGCTATCCCTCCCCTTGGTCTCCACCACCCAATAGGCCCCTGTGTGTGATATTCCCCTCCCTGTCCCCATATGTTCTCATTGTTCAACTCCCACTTATGAGTGAGAACATGCAGTATTTGGTTTTCTGTTCCTGTGTTAGTTTGCTGAGAATGATGGTTTCCAGCTTCATTCATGTCCCTGCAAAGAATATGAACTAATTCTTTTTTATGGCTGCATAGTATTCCATGGTGTATATGTGCCATATTTTCTTTATTCAGCCTATCGTTGATGGGCATTTGCGTTGATTCCAAGTCTTTACTATTGTGAACAGTGCTGCAATAAACATACATGGGCATGTGTCTTTTTAGTAGAATGATTTATAATCCTTTGGGTATATACCCAGTAATGGGATGGCTGGGTCAAATGGTATTTCTAGTTCTAGATCATTGAGGAATTGCCATACTGTCTTCCACAATGGTTGAACTAATTTACACTCCCACCAACACTGTTAAAGCATTCCTATTTCTCCACATTCTCTCCAGCATCTGTTGTTTCCTGACTTTTTAATGATTGCCATTCTAACTGGTGTGAAATGGTATCTCATTGTGGTTTTGATTTGCATTTCTCTAATGACCAGTGATGATGAGCATTTTCTCATATGTTTGTTGGCCGCATAAATGTCTTCTTTTAAAAAGTATCTGTTCATATCCTTCACCCACTTTTTGATGGAGTTTTTTTTTCTTGTATATTTGTTTAAGTTCCTTGTAGATTCTGAATATTAGCCCCTTGTCAGATAGATAGATTGCAAAAATTTTCTCCCATTCTGTAGGTTACCTGTTCACTCTGATGATAGTTTCTTTTGCTGTGCAGAGGCTCTTTAGGTTAATTAGATCCCATTTGTCAATTTTGGCTTTTATTGCAATTGCTTTTGGTGTTTTAGTCATGAAATCTTTGCCCGTGCCTGTGTCCTGAATGGTATTGCCTAGGTTTTCTTCTAGGGTTTTTATGCTTTTAGGTGTTACATTTAAATCTTTAATCCATCTTGAGTTAATTTTTGTAAAAGCTGTAAGGAAGTAGTCCAGTTTCAGTTTTCTGCATATGACTAGTCAGTTTTCCCAACACCATTTATTAAATAGGGAATCCTTTTCCCATTGCTTGTTTTTGCCAGGTTTTTCACAGTTCAGATGGCTGTAGATGTGTGGTGTTATTTCTGAGGCCTCTGTTCTATTCCATCGGTCTACATATCTGTTTGGGTACCAGTACTATGCTGTTTTGGTTGTGGTAGCCTTGTAGTGTAGTTTGAAGTCAGGGAGTGTGATGCCTCTAGCTTTGTTCTTTTTGCTTAGGATTGTCTTGGCTATATGGGCTTTTCTTTTCGTTCCATATGAAATTTGACGTAGTTTTTTCCAATTCTGTGAAGAAAGGCAATGGTAGCTTGATGATGGGAGTAGCCTTGAATTTATAAATTACTTTGGGCAGTATGGCCATTTTCACGATATTGATTCTTCCTACCAATGAGCGTGCCATTTGTTTATGTCCTCTCTTATTTCCTTGACCAGTGGTTTGTAGTTCTCCTTGAAGAGGTCCTTCACATCCCTTGTAAGTTGTATTTCTAGGTATTTTATTCTCTTTGTAGCAAATTGTGAATGGGAGTTCACTCATGATTTGGCTCTCTATTTTTGGTGTATAAGAGTGTGATTTTTGCACATTGATTTTTGTATCCTGAGACTTTGCTAAAGATGCTTATCAGCTTAAGGAGTTTTTGGGCTGAGATGATGGGGTTTTCTAAATATAAAATCATGTCATCTGCAAACAGAGATAATTTGACTTCTTCTCTTCCTATTTGAATACTCTTTATTTCTTTCTCTTGCCTGATTGCCCTGGCGAGAACTTCCAGTACTATGTTGTATAGGAGTGGTAAGAAAGGGTGTCCTTGTCTTGTGCTGGTTTTCAAAGGGAGTGCTTGCAGCTTTTGCCTATTCAGTATGATATTTGCTGTGGGTATTCATAAATAGCTCTTATTATTTTGAGATATGTTCTGTCAATACCTAGTTTATTGAGTGTTTTTAGCATAAAGGGATGTTGAATTTTGTCAAAGGCCTTTTCTGCATGTATTGAGATAATCATGTGTTTTTTGTCATTGGTTCTGTTTATGTGATGGATTACATTTATTGATTTGTGTATGTTGAACCAGCCTTGCATCCCAGGGTTGAAGTCGACTTGATTGTGGTAGATAAGCTTTTTAATGTGCTGCTGGATTCAGTTTGCCAGTATTTTATTGAGGATTTTTGCATTGATGTTCATCAGGAATATTGGCCTGAAATTTTCTTTTTTTGTTGTGTCTCTGCCAGGTTTTGTTATCAGGATAATGCTGCCCTCATAAAATGAGTTAGGGAGGAGTCCCTCTTTTTTTATTGTTTGGAATAGTTTCAGAAGGAATGATACCAGCTCCTCTTTGTACCTCTGGTAGAATTCGGCTGTAAATCCTTCTGGTTCTGGGTTTCTTTTGGTTGGCAAGCTATTAATTACTGCCTCAATTTCAGAACTCATTACTGGTTTATTCAGGGATTAAACTTCATCCTGGTTTAGTCTTGGTGGGGGTGTATATGTCCAGGAATTTAT